>NC_000009.12:101099339-101250855 GCF_000001405.40 Homo sapiens | reverse complement strand
AGTGAGGATGGCTATCTCTTGCCACAGTTTAGTCCCCAAATCTATCACCTAATAGTGTTGGCATATCATGAAGTTTGGCATGGAATTTGGTATAATCATGGTGATTCTATCTAACTCACAGCATTGAATGCAGCAAAGACTTCTTTCGTTTTTTAACAACTATGTATAACTGCAGCAAGGAGGCAGGGTTAGTGGTATTGATTGATGGTAAGAGTTTCCAAGTGGATTAATTTTAAGGAGGAGAGCAGGACATTAGTCTGGAAGAAGCAATGAGGAGCAAAAACAACACCTAGCCTGTCACTAAGTCCATTAGTACAAGAGATATGGGAAATAAGACATGGCCACTTGGGAGGGCTCTAGGGAAGCAATATAATTAAGGAGAGCCAAATTTCCAGTAGGAAAGGGAAGGTACTATTCAGACAACTTTAAGAATGTAATGGATTTTGCTGATTGCGGGTGAGTTTTGGAATTCATAGAGCAACTCATACTTTGAGTAAGCATAAGAGGGTGCTCTTTGAAAAGGAGGAGGATGGAATCAGTTCGAGATGCACAGAGCTGTGTGCGCACAAGAACCACAGGGTGAGAGAAGACCCAGAGTCCTTATTTTCTAAGATAGGAACAAAGGGCATGACAGAATTAGTCCCAGTGTTCTTTGAGGCAGAATGGTGGGGCTGTATTGAGAAGGGAGGAAGAGCTAGATCTTCTGTTTTGTGCTCTTCCATGTTGTGCTATAAATTGGAAAAAGTAATAAGCCTTTGGTACTAACGTAGAAATGCAGTCATTTAAAAAACATTTTTATCATGTAAAGTGTTTCCTAAATTGTGGCAATCTAGCACTAGGCAGCACGGATTTAATTCTTATTGCAAAAAATATCGGTTGAACCCCTACTACTGTACTGGGTGTGGACGACAATGTAGAGAAAGGAAAGCAATCATCTCCAGAAAACATAAGCCCTCAAATACAGCTGTGCCCATTGTCCAGCAAGAGATGAGAAGAGATGTGCCAGCTACAAAACCTTTTCTTGCTCTTTGGGATTCTAGGAGTTGCATCTTCTCTATCTCCAGAGCGAAGACCAGTTGTCCACTTCTAGTATTCCTATGTTGGGTATTTGTAGTTGAGAAAAACCTGTACCATTTCATAACGCTCACCTAACTAAACGATCAGACAATGACACACATTAGACCATCTTCATTGTTCAAAATGTGGAGGATCTAAGCACTTTTCCACACCTAACCGGGCTGCCATTTCCTGTGTTTAAAGAAGTGAGAAAATGTGAGGAAAAAAAATAGTATAGAGTCAACAGAATTAGAAATGACAAAAACATGCTATATGCGCCACCCTCCTCCATCCATGATTATGACAGATGTGCCAATAATTTTTGGGACTCTTTCCTGTTGATCTTTTCCACATGGTACTCCAGACAGTCATTACCAATCGTTTATAATTGGGCCACCCCTGATAACACAAGTGGTACCACCTTTTTAGATAG
Organism: Homo sapiens; assembly: GCF_000001405.40. Lineage (NCBI taxonomy): Eukaryota > Metazoa > Chordata > Mammalia > Primates > Hominidae > Homo > Homo sapiens. Next base: position 101,249,366 of record NC_000009.12, on the reverse strand, counting down.
TAGGTTCTAAAATGAGATAGAATATCATGGGGTTTTAAATACATGCTTGAATGATTTCTAAGCTCACTTAAAGAAGTACCCACAAGGTCCTGAGATGAGAAAACTCTAGTTTCAAAGCATCTTCTCCAGAAGAGAGGCACACAAGAGGCAATCTAGCATGAGATACTGCTAGACATTTGCTCACTGATGGTTTAATTTTGTAGGAAGCCAAATGGCTTCAGTGAGGATGGCTATCTTTTGCTACAGATAAATCCCCAAATCTGTCACCTAATAGTGTTGGCATATCATGAAGTTTGGCGTGGAATTTGGTATAATCATGGTGGTTCTACCTAACTCACAGCATTGAATGCAGCAAAGATTTGTTTTGTTTTTTACCCTCTAATCTTAGATTAAGTTGTTCCCAGATGTATTTTGGTAGGAAGATGTTATTATACTCCCCTGACAATCTTAAGACCACTTTTTGAGTTTTGGCCTCAGAAAGTCTTTCTTCACCTTTTTATATTTAGAAGGAATGCCTAACCTATTTGGTCAACCACTTAAGCTCAGAGCTTGGAGTAATTTAAAGTTTCACTTGGAGAAGCAGACACACAGCAGATACAGTATTTTCGTTGTTTTCTCTAAATTGAAATAAGATAAGAACAGGTATTAAGCTGCTTAGAGATTTGAATTAGAGAAACAATTATCCTAATACACATGATAGGGGAAAGGATCTCAGAGCTCATAATCTCCTGATTCGTATGAAAAACTGTCACTCTGTGGATATCCATGCTTGACTGGAGGTTATGAAAAGTAATCTAAGCCTCCTTTTCTCACTTTTATCCTCTCTGATTGATTTCTGGTTCTTTTGAAAATGATTGTTCCTCTTTAAAACTTTCTGAACATAGCACAATGCATAATCTGTATCATTTGGCACTCTAACTACTTTGCTATTATACTAGGATTCTTATGCCTGAGCATGCCTTGTCGGTATTTGCAGTTGAAATTTATTCAATGAAATGTGAAAGTACTTTGTAAGATACATTTAGAGCATTTGACTTAGGCCAAGCATGCTGAGCTAAAAAGGTTCAGGAAGTTATATTCTTACACAGTTAATGTTGTTCATGACAGGTATCTTTTCATTTTTGACTGCCTGCTTTCTGACCTCTTGCAATGGCCACCAGAGGGTAGGGAACTCAGTGTGTGAAAGATCATTTCAATGGTGTCTTCACATTTTTGACATCTTTGATGTCCGAACTGCCATAACTAGGGTGAGTAGTCAGGGAGCTGGTCTGAGCTTCATCACCTGACACCTTATACCTCACCCTCTACTGTCTCCAGAAGTAGATCCTTAAAATTGTTAGTATTGCTATATGAGCTCACCCAGTCTTAGGCCACCCTTTTCCTGAACAGAGTTTATTTATTTTTCTGTGAAGGAGAATAAGAACTCTATTCCCTGAGAATCAGAAAAAAAACTTAGCTGGATATACTTAAGAGGTGGTTATACTCACTCAGCATGTTCAGAGACTGAGGAGCCTTAGGAAACAGAACAGCAATAATCAGGCTGCTTTAATTCCTACAATATTTCAAGGAGTACCCTGGGCCTGAAAGACACATCCCTCTACCTGGGGGCCAGTGAAAAATCAGCGCTCCAGACTAAGAGATCCCCAGTGATTGCAAACACAGCACAGCTCATGTGTTTTCAGAGTCTGGTACATGGTAAATGCTCTACGTGTGCTTGTTTAGTAAATGGGTGAAAGGCAAGATTCAGACATTAGCAGCTAGATGGTAATACCAGACTACTACCCATACCCAGACTACTGCACACCCACTTTCTCTCAAGTGCCTAAAGACAACCACCAGCCAGAGATGCTTTGTAGATTGACATGTGGTAACTGTCAACCCCATCAGAAACTGAAAACACTTTTCCTCATAAATCTCTCTTGAGGCCCCCTTCCTTTTTCTATGGTGGCTGTGCAAATTCGCCTCTCAGATGCTAAGTGGTTGATGTAAGACCCAATGTGGTCATCTAGAAGCCTGAGGAAGGCTGCTGGAGTTGCCTTTGTGTTGCTGCTTCTGTTTTTTTCTCTCCCATGGAAAAATCTTCCGTGGAGACCACGTTTCTGAATCCAGTTGTCTTAAAGCTTGGATCCAAATGACACATTGTTGGGCGTCCCTCCTTCCAGGAGCTGCTGCTCATGGCTTCAGGAAGGAGTCTTGTCATTGCCGCAGAAGCTGCTTTGGGCACCTCTTAGTGTGGTTTTATGGTAAATTAATGAGTTAGAGGCCTCAATTCTTCTATGAGACCTCCCATATACACATGCCATTTCCCTTGTAGTTTCTCTCACTAAATAGGAAGAGTGACTTATTTCAGCCAGTAGAGATGTGTGCTGATGTGACTACAAGCAGAAGCATTTGAGAGTTCATAACTGCTCTTGCACCTCTGCCAGGAGAATACAACTGGGTTAGCTAGGTGGAAGGATGTGAAAGATTCATAGAAGAGAGCTGAGTCATGCAGGTGACAGCAAAGTAACTCCCAGATGTGTGCACCACAGACAATAGCTGGTTAACTCTGAGACCTAGGAGTGTCCCCAGACAAGAACAGGAAAACGGCCCAGTATGGTCTAGACAACCAACATACAAGCTAAATAAATGCCTACTGTTGTATGCCACTGAATTTTGGAGTGCTTTGTTACACACTGGTATTACGGCAATGGGCACCAGATATAGTTACTTTCTTTTGCTGTTGAGAGATAGTATAATTCTGTGATTAAGGCACCAGACTCTAGAAGGGAAGAGATTGGGTTTATATCTTGCCTCTGCCACTCACTAACTGTAGAGAATCACTTAAATTCTCTATAACTCAGTTCCTTCATCTGTAAAATGGAAACAATAGTATCTACCAATAAGCTAATTACCTGAAGAGCTCAGAACTATCTCTGGCATATAGTACACACTATAAATGTGCTATTATCATTTGCTAGTATGTTGATTAGCATTGGTGAAAAGTCAGCCAAGTGGTTTAAGCCTGTGTGTCCCACAGTCTGTCCCTGTCCTCTTAATTAGGGAATGTTAATAGAGTTTTTCTAAGGAGTTTTGTTTTTTATTTCATGTGCTACTACTCCTTTCTTAGGGTGGGTAAGAAGTTTGTTAAGTTGGCCTCAGTGTCTTCTCTCTTCCTATGAGTCAATCTGTGTCATATCTGGAGATATTGAGACTTTTGCCATTTAAATGTCATTTTCCCTAGATTTCAGTGCTTATACAAATCTATCTATCTATCTATATATATATATATATATATATATATATATATATATATATATATATATATATATTCATATTCAATTTTGAGAGGTATATGGGAGATTATGGTCAAGTAGCCCTTTGACCCAGAGGTAAAACAATATAGTTTCAAATAACCAAATACAACCTTATTTGTCTTTCCTTATTTGGATTTTCCATGTATTTAGAATAACCTAGCAGATTAATATTCTTTGTCCCTTTACCCTATTTGGAGTCTATGTCAAAATATGTAATTTGACAGCTACTTGGAGAAGTTCCCTGACTTACAGACCATGTTAGTTCTTTGGCTCATGGGACTAAAGATTCTTGGAGCTGGAAAGCACTGTAGAGGTTACTCAGTCTTTCCAGTTACAGATGAGGGAACCAAAGATCAGACAAGTAACTTTTTTGTGGTTCCAGAGAAAACAAAAGAACCTGGGTAAGAATACAGAGCTCTCCCAAGTCCAGTGGATTCTTACTCTTTTAGCGTTTAATACTTGATATGCACTAGAAAAAATATATAGTGTAAGTTGGACACATAATAAAATAGATACCTAGATATATCACCAAATCTTTGACATCATCAATGACACAGAGACTTCTCATATATACAGCTCTAATCTTAGCCTACTGTATCTTGTTGCAACCCTAACCTGATACAATCCCTAAAGAGGTCAACATTTTTCTGAATTTTATATTTATCATTTCATTGAACATTGTATGTTTACCTAAATTATATATTTAAATAAAAATGGTATATCAGTCATGTTTTTTCACCACACGTTATATTGCAATACTTATCCACATTCTTGCACGTAGCTGAAGTTCATTTATTTTCATTGTTTAAATTGAGCTCTTTTTTTTGCTATAAGGTAAAATTGCTATGAATTATCTTGATCATGTCTAGTGAGACATGTATAAAGTTTATTTAGGGCAAGTGATAACAAGTGGAGTTTCTGGAACATAGGTTAATGTACACACTCAACTTTGTAAGATAACACCAAATTGTGTTTAAAGTGGTTTTTCTTTTCCATGCTTAGCAGCAGGGTTTTAGAATTCTTAACTACTCACAGGATCCATTCTTGGTGTAGTCTTTCAGCTAGTAAATATAGTACTAGTAGGTGTATTGTATTCTTAACTTGCACTTCTCTAATGACTAATAAGGTTGGCCATCTTTTCATGTTTCCTCTTTAATAAAATGCCTATTTATGTGTTTTTTTGCATTCTATTTTTCTTTTAGTTGACTTGTAGTTATTAATAAATTCTGGACACTAATCTTCTATCAGATACATATTAACAAATTTTCCCAGGTATTTATTGGCTTAACTTTTTATTTTATGGCATCTTTTAATGAATAAAAATTTTTGGTTTTAACATTGTCTTCAGTATGATTTTCACTACATCAAAGATGCATTTTATTGTATGTCAACCTAGAAAAAAGATTATCTCCAAATTATAGAGACTTATATGTGCAAATAACCTACTATCTTAGTCAATACTATATCTGAAATGAGAGACTGAATTTTTTTTTAAATCATAGAGATAAAAAATGGAAACTCCTAACACTTTGTTCTAAAAGAATTTGTTGCTCAGATACTGGGTGATGCTCAGATACTGGGTGATGATGAGAGAGCGTAGATGTAACTTAACAGAAATACCAAAAAAAAAAATTATTCATTCTCAGCTGTCAACTAATTTAGCTTTCTTGTAACCCTATTAATTATTTTTCGTCTTTCTGAATCTTGAATCTCTTCATCTTCACTGCTTCTGAACATATCTCAACATTTAAAACAAAACAAAAAATAAAGCCATGCTTTGATTTTTTTTCTTTTAAATTTTTACTGCCTTTACTCAATCTGTTTACATTCCTACACTGCAAAGCTACATGGGGGTTAACTTCATTGACTTCCTCCACTCTTCTCAAATCATCTCATTAAAGTCATCAATAACCTCCTAATTGAAAAATTCATTAGGCACTTTTCAGTCCTAACATTATTTGATGTCTCTGCAGCATTTGACACTCCTGTTCACTCCATTTTTTCTTGAATATATCTCTGCCCTAACCTCCCTTTTTTTGGGGTTATTTTCCTAGCTCTCAGAATTCCATCTCAAGTCTCTTTCATCAATTCTCCTCATGTGCACACCTCAAATGGTCATGTTTTCCAGGGTTCTACCATCAACTCCGTATTCTTTCCCTACTGTGCTGGGAGGAATGTCATATACTCCCAGGGTTTCAGCTATCTCTTGTATGTTGAAATATTCATTTATCATGTGAACCCCTTTCCTAAGTTCTAGACCTTACTTTCTACTAAGCTTTTCCAGTGGCTTCCACTACCACCTATACTTTGATGATTCACAGACCTAGAGTACCAGCCCAAAACACTCTCTTGAGCTCTAGACCCTTATTTCTTAATCCACACTTAACATCTCCTCCTAGAAATTTCTTAGGCACCTTATAGTCAAGATTTTCCAATCTGAACCATAATGTTCCCTCCCTCCACCTCCTGAAGGCTCCTCTCACAGTACTTCCTTCTCTGAAAATTAGACAACTATCTATACAGTTACTCAAGACAGAAAATGGAGAGTCATCCATGAGTCCTCCTTTCTTTTCTACACTCCATATTTAGCCAGACTGTAAATCTGATCAATTTAATATTCTTAATATGACTCAAAACTGTTCCTCTTCATATCTGCTGCTCTTTAATTCAGGCCCTCATCACTTCTTTCCAGCACAAGTCTCTTAGCTAGATTCCCAACTTTGGGTCTTGCTCTGGTCCAGAAGAGTCCATTTGCTTCACTTCCACTAATATATTTTTTTTCTAAAAAGTTAATTGATGTCCTTTTTCTAGAGGATAAAAATCCCAACTCCCTACTGTGAAATTTAAGATTCTGACGACCTGGGTCCTCTCTACCTTTCCAACCTCATCTCATAGCTGTCGCCTGCAAATATCCAATTGATGAATCATACATTTCTACTTCAGGTAAGGTTACCTACATGTGTCTCACTTTGTTATACCTCTGTGCCTATTAATATGCTTTTCCTTCTGCTACAATTATTCTTTCTTTCATTTCTTTGCCTAATGAATTTCTTTGAGGCATAATAAGTGTTCACAGGCACTGCGAAACCTCTTTATTTTTTCTAGGAAGCATTAGAAATTTTCTCCTCTGTGTTCACTTAGAGCCTTATTTTCCTGTTATAGCACATGACAGAGAACAATAATTACTTGTTTGCATGACAATGCTCACCATTAAACTGTGAGCTCCTCAAGGAAAGTTGCCAAGTTCTAGTTATCATTGTAGCCTCAGTACTTATAGTTACCAGTACACAGTGAGCACTTAATTAATGTTTCTGGAATAGGTTAACTCAATGTGCATGAATATTGTGGCATCACTTCCACAAAAGCTTCTGTCTCCCATGGCTCCATTAGCAGTTCTAGAACATATAGGCAGTGATAGTTCTGCTTTTCTGTAGGGTGATCAGTCTATATTTAGAATACTTGGTATGATGCTGCTCTTAGATTAAGGCAGATATAAACTGAAAAACATTAAGAGAACAATCAGGCACCAACATCATGTCAAAGAAGCAATGATTGAAGAAATGGAAATCATTTTGGTGAGGCATCACAAATCAAAAAGAATTTTAACAGTATCTACTGTAATAGAATTGAGAGCAAGCACTCTTATTCTAATAAAACACAAAGATGGAAGATCAAAGTTGACAGCAAAGAATTTGTTCTTTGCTGCTTCTCTCACTGAGAGGTTGAATCTAATTCTCCTCTCCCTGAAGGTGGTTTGCTTGACCAATAGCATGGGATTAAAAGGGTATGGCAAGATTTCCGAGACTATATCAGAGAAAAAAAAAAAAAAAGAATTCCAGCTCCTCCCTTGGTCTCTTGGAATGTCTCTTCTTGAAGTACCCACACTCCAAAGTCACTCACTCATTTTCATACTGTGAGAAGCCCAAGGCTCATAAAGAGGACACATGTTGGTGCTGTTAGTGCCAGCAAACTCCTAGCTAACAGGCAGCTTCAACTGCCAATGACTTCTGAACCATTTTGGATTCCCTGGTAGATAACTTAGATAATTGCAGCCACATGAAAAGCCTAAGCAAGAGCCAATCAGCCAGATTCTTTCTGAATTCCTGATCCACAAATTTCTGTGCAAAATAAAATGCATTTTAAAAAATAAATGATTACATTTGGGGCTTTTAACTATTAAAATAGGGTGGTTTGTTACCCAGAAACAGCTAAAGCAACCACTACAAATGTTGATTGATTGATTTGGTAACGATAAACCGTTGTGCCAAAAACTGACTTTTACCACTCAGATCTTCCTTCAAGAAAGGTTTTGCTGCCCAGTTACAAGGAATGTGATTATCTGGCACCCTCCAGCTGTTAGCTCCTTCAGGGTCGTCTACCTCATATCTGAGCTGTGAGCTTGCTCTTTTCAGATAAGGCCCCAGCCAATGGCTGAGTAGCCATTGCCATAAGGCAATGGTAGCCAACGCCACATTCTTAGGTGTCCCCAGTCAATGGCTAACCAAAATGGGGTGTGAAGGTCTATCTCAAGCTTGTCCAGCCAGCAGCCCATAGGCTGCATGTGGCTCAGGACGGCTTTGAATGTGGCCCAACACAAATTCATAGATTTTCTTAAAACATGAGATTTTGTTGTGATTTTTTTCAAAGCTCATCAGCTACTGTTAGTGTTAGTATATTTTATGTGTGGCCCAAGGAAATTGTTCTTCTCCCAGTATGACCCAGGGAAGCCAAAAGACTGGACACCCCTGGTCTAGCCATTTCTGTACAACTGAGGACTCCTTGAATGAGCAATCTTTGCCCTAGAACAACTCCCTTAGGCTCACAGAGACCTCATCTGTCTGCATCATGAGCAATGTCTCCACTTGCCCAGTACTGCTGCCTCTCTCTTCACATGTATATTCCCCAATAAACCTTTCATGTACCTATTCCATCTCAGTGTCTGCTTTGGAAAGAACACAAGACATACAACCATCTTGCATTATTTTTAGAAAATTATAATAGCAAAAAGCAACTTTGAAGACATGGTAGCAAAACAAGCCCATGAACACTTGTGTGGCTATTGGTCCCAGTTATTAATGGCTTAAGGTCATTGCTTGTTTTACCGTGTTCAAGTAAAGTATGGCAATGCCTTCATTATTGGCTACCTATACACTTAGCAAATAGCACTGCAAATAAAAGGAGGGAATGAGACTTACACAGAAAGCACCAGGATCCTGATTCTACATCTGCCTGAAGTGGCAGGGCACTCAATGGAATGACAAGCATTTAACAAAGATCCAGTTGGCCTTGTAAGACATTGGCTGATTTTCCTAAACCTTAATCCAACTTCAGTAATTTCCCAACTTTATTGGAAATCCTCGTCTGACACTGCTTGCTTAAAAATATGTGGGCTAAGAAGGGAGGTTGGATAACAATTTCAAGGCATTTATGAAGGAACCGTGAGATTGAATCTTTCGAAGAACATTCAAGTCACATTTTCATAGAAGCTGAAATTGTCTCTTTTCTACTTAGTTCAAAGACAGTAATTTTTTCATGTCATCCTAATAGATTAGAAGAATTGATATTGTTAAGATGACTGTGCTACCCAAAGAAATCCACAGATGCAATGAAATCCCAAATCAAAATGCCAATGATATTCTTCAGAGAAAGAGAAAAAAACAATTCTAAAATTTGTATGGAACCACAAAAGACCCTGAATAGCCAAGGCAGTACTTAGCAAAAATAACAAAGCTGGAGACATCACACTACCTGACTTCAAAATATACTGCAAAGCTATACTAAGCAAAACAGCATGGTATTGGTATAAAAACAGACATACAGACCAATGAAATGGAACAGAGAACCCATAAATAAATCCTCATATTCGGAGTAAACTGATTTTTCAACAAAGGTGCTGGGAATATACACTGGGAAAAGGACACCCTCTTCAATAAGTGATGCAGAAAAAAACTGGATCTCCATAGGCGGAAGAATAAAACTATACCCCTATTTCTCATCATTTACAAAAATCAACTTAAAATGAATTAGACTTAAATGTAAGACCTGAAACTATAAAACTACTAGGAGATAACTTAAGAGAAATGTTTTAGGACATTGGTCTAGGCAAAAATGTTATGGGTAAGTCTTCAAAAGCACAGGCAACAACAACAAATAATAGACAAATGGAACTATATCACACTCAAAAGCTTCTGCACAGCAAAGGAAACAACAGTGTGAAGGAAGAACCTGTAGAATGGGAGAAAATATTTGCAAGCTATTCATCTAACAAGGGGATATCCAGGATATACAAGGAGCTCAAATAACTCAACAATAAAAATCTGATTAAAAATGGACAAATGATCCGAATAGACATCTCTCAAAAGCCATACCAATGGCCAAGAGGTACATGAAAAAATGTTCAACATCCCTAGTTACCATGGAAATGCAAATCATAACCACGATGAATTATTTTCTCATCCCAGTTAGAATGCCTATTATGAAAAAATAACTGCTATCAAGGATGCAATGAAAAAGGAACTGTTACTGTTTTTTAGGAATCAAATCTTATTTTTTCAACTGTTATTTTAGATTTAGGGGCACATGTATAGGTTTGTTACCTGGATATATTGCATGATTCTGAGATTTGGGGTATGAATTATCCCATCACCCATTACTAGGCAGAGTACCCAACAGTCTTTCTACCCTTACCTCCCTCTCTCCCACCTCTAGTCCCCAAAAAGGGAACTCATACACTGCTGGTAGGAATGTAAATTAGTACAGCCATTGTAGAAAACAGTATGGAACTTTCTGAAAAAACTAAAAATAAAACTACCATGCAATCCAGCCATCCCACTACTGGGTATTCATCCAAAGGAAAGGAAGTATATGGAAGTGATACCTGCACCCCCACGTTTATTGCCACTCTAATCACAATACCAAAGATACAGAATTGCCTAAATGTCCACCAACAAATAAATGCATAAAGAAAATATGGTATATATGTACACACACACACACACACACACACACACTCAATGAAATTCAGCTATTTATTCAGCATGAGTAAGCCTTGAGGATATTATGTTAAGTCAGGCACAGAAAGAGAAACACTGCATGTGTAGGAGCTAAAAAAAAAAAAAGTGAGCTCATAGAAGGGGAAAATAGAACTGCGATTGTTAGAAGCTGGAAGGGTAAGAAGGAAAGGAGGATAAAGAGAGGTTGGTTAATGAATAGAAAGCTACAACTAGATGGCAGGAATGACTTCTGGTGTTCTGTATAAGTATGGCTAACAATAATCTTAATTTATTTTTATGTATTTAGGGAGTACAAGTGCAGTTTTGTGACACGAATATATTGCACAGAGGTGAAGTCTGGGCTTTTAGCCTACCCATCATCTGAATAGCAGACATTGCACCCAACAGGTAATTTTTCAACCCTCACTCTCCTCCTATTTTTCCGCCTTTTAGTGTCTCCAATGTCTATTAATCCACTCTCTACGTCCATGTGTACCCATTGATTAGCTCCCACTTGCAAGTGAGAACATGCAGTATTTGACTTTGTTTCTGAGTTATTTCACTTAGGATAATGGCCTCCAATTCCATCGAAGTATGTTGCTAAAAGACTTTCTTTCATTCTTTTTTATAGATGAGTAGTATTCCATTGTGTGCATATATATATATACACACACACACAATTCCATCATATATATATACCCTATATATATACCCATATATATATATACACCTCTATATATAGAGAGGTATATATACATCCTATATACATACCCTATATATATATAGGGTATGTATATAGGATGTATATATAGGGTGTATATATACCTCTCTCTATATAGGTATATATAGAGAGGTGTATATATATAGGTATATATATAGGGTATATATATAGGGCATATATATAGGGTATATATATGTGTGTATATGTATATATATGTGTGTATATGTATATATATACACACACGTATATAGGCTATATATATGTATGTATATGTATATATATACACACACACGTATATATAGGCTATATATATATACACATTTCTCTGATTTAAGTCTATTTGGAGAATAAGCATATATATATATATATATATATATAGGCTATATAGCCTGTGTGTGTGTGTATATATATATAGCATATATATATATATAGGCTTATTCTCCAAATAGCCTTAAATCAGAGAAATGTGTGTATATATATATGTGTGTGTATATATATATATACACACACACATATATAGCATATATATATATATATATATGCACACAATGGAATACTACTCATCTATAAAATGGAATACACAATGGAATATATATATAGCCTATATGTATATATATATATAGGCTATATACACACACATATATAGATATAGACTATATATATAGGCTATATATATATGTATATATATGATGGAATTTTGTGTGTGTGTGTGTGTATATATATATATGCACACAATGGAATACTACTCATCTATAAAATGGAATACACAATGGAATATATATATAGCCTATATGTATATATAGGCTTATTCTCCAAAGAGACTTAAATCAGAGAAATTTATAGATGTGTATCTGTGTTTAATGTGTCCTTAATTTTTGCTATACACACACACACACACACACGACCTTTCTTTATTCAATCAGTTGATGAACACTTAAGTTGATTCCATGACTGTGCTATTGTAAATAGTACTGTGATAAATATAACAGCGCAGGTATCTTTTTTTATGTGATGATTTATTTTCCTTAGGGTAGACACCCAGTAGTGAGATTGCTGGATCATTTGGTGGTTCTATTTTCAGTTCTATTGGGAAATCTCCATTGTGTTTTCCACAGAGGCTGTACTAATTTACATTCCCACCAACAGTGTATAAGTGTTCTCTTTTCTCCACATCCTAGCCAACATCTATTGTTTTTTGACTTTTTAATAATAGCCATTCTGACTGGTGTAAGATGGTATCTTGTTGTGGTTTTAATTTGCATTTCTCTGATGATTTGTGATGTTGAGCATTTTTCACACATTTAAAGATACACTTGTATGTTGTCTTTTGAAAAATACCTGTTCCTGTCCTTTACCCACATTTTAATGAGTTTGTTTTTCTTGAGTTTCTTGTAGATTCTGGATATTAACACTTTGTCAGATATATAGTTTGCAAACATTTTCTTCCCATTCTATAGGTTGTTTGCTTACTGATTATTTATTTTGCTATGCAGAAGGCTTGTAGTTTAATTAAGTCCTATTTGTCTGTTTTTGGTTTTGTTACATTTGCTTTTGAGGGTTAACAATAATACATATTTTCAAAAAGATAGAGGAGAGGATTTTGAATGTTCACATGCAAAGAAAAAAATGTTCAAAGTATTAGATTTGCTAATTATCCTGATTTGATCATTACACGTTGTATACATGTATCAAAATATCACTATAACCCATAGATATGTACAGTTATTACACGTTAACTAAAAAAGGAAAAAAAAGATGGTCATTTTTTCAAGTGTATTATGGTAACTATGAAGAAAATGTGTGTGTGTGTGTGTGTGTGTGAGTTTAGAGAGAGAGGGTAACAATTAGTCTATGATTTAAAAATAGGAATTATATATTCTACTGGCATTCTGTCCTTTGGTCCACATTTATAGAAATATTTGCCTTTTCTCTGATAGTTATTACTTTTCCTAGGGAAGAGAAGAATGCCAGGAGAAGGATGTGATTCCTCTGTTCAAATATTAGAAGAATTATGAGAAATTAGATTTGTTACAGCAAAAGTTAATATAACAGCCAGAGGGTAAAATTGGTCCAATAGGTATTTGGAAGTTAAACAGAAAAAAATTTGCATTGACTTTTTTTGGAATTGTTTAAAGATAGATGCTATAGTTTGCTTTGATAGGTAGTGTGTTTTCTATTGCTAGGGAAAACCAAGCACAACCCTGGCAATTACTTGATGGAGAGAATACTAGAAGGCATTCAAGTAAATCTAGAACAACAGGCTTTAAAGTCTCTCTACCAGAAATTCTATAAATACTGAAGAAACAGTAAGACAAATATGAAGGTATTATGAGGAACTCTCCCACTCTAAATATAAATATAATGTAACAGGAATTACATTACTATAATCAAATAGTTCTGGTTCCCATTTTGTCAGGTATAAAGCTCTGCTGACATCTTTAAAATTATTTTTTATAAAGCCAGCCAAGCATGGAATAACTTCATAGCTGCTTTAGCAAAGACTAATTCAGGAAATTACACTAATGAGAGGCTAATAAGTCACACTAAGATGAGCCTAGAAGCACACGTCTTTTTCAGAGGAAGCTGGTGAATACTGTGCCTGTAAGTGAGAGGTTTATGTTCTCATTTTCTAAGGAAAGGTTTTCAGAAATTTATCAGTAGGGGGCATTGCTGTTCTATCAGCAGAAGAGCTAGACCCAAGAAGTGCTCTCGGTAATTGAGCACTTAGAAATAATCAACAAGTCAAAGCAGATAAGAAACTATTTTTTTTCTTGGAAAAAATTCACATGTCATCTGTTCTAAATGAAACTTTAGAAAATGAAAGTACAGCATGTACATATTTGGTTTTTCCAAGATAAATGAAAGATGCTAGAGGTTTTAAAAAAATTTTGTTAAAGAGAGACTAATATCACAGCAGCTGCAGATTCAGCACTTCCAATCTCAGGAATTGAGAAGAAAGCTGAATTTGCATCATGGTGAACTAGCATCACTAATGCTTACAGCTCCCATCTAACCGTCATGAGAGTGAAATTAAACAGTTCTCCCTGTGTTCGAAACTTATTCAGTACAACAAATACTGGTCTGTTCTTCCCTCTCCCCTTCTACCCATATAGGCAAAGTCAAACAATCATGAAAGGAATCGGGGGAAAAAGTAAAATATGCAAATGTGGAATGCAGAGATGAGCTAAAGAGCTGCACTTGTTTACCTTAGACACACAAGACCCACAATTTTTCGTGGATAGAAAGATTGTTAAATACCATCAAAAATAAATGCAATTCTTTCCACATCTGCCATGATATAAATGCTAGATGTCAGGTATAATTATGTATGAATTATCATAGTTTATAGAAAAACTTGATATCCCAGCTTTTTAAAAAAATCCCTGTACTCAAGAATATGTTAGTTTTATAACTTAGAAATTAGAATCCTGAGACTTAATGAAATTCTGAATCTTAAGAAACAGCAAAAAGTAAGGATACATTTAAACACAGATACACATCAATAAATTTCTCTGATTTAAGTCTATTTGGAGAATAAGAAGGCAGACTAATTCTCACCCACTTTTAAGGTTCATTCAGATTTTATCTTCATTTATTTAACACAAATCAATGAAGTCACTTCTAAGTAATTGGCAGACAAAGGCTAGGTATTCTGGTCTAAATTTGCCTTGGCCTATGGGGCCATATTCTGAACTCCTGGAACAGGAATTTCTAGTTGAGATCTCTCTCTCTCTAATGCCTTAGATATATATCTCAACTTAAGCCCTTATAGCATTACGGTATAGAATTTTTGTTTGTTTTTTTTTTAAAAAAATACACTTGGAGATTGGAGAGAAGGTAAAACCCTAAGGACATGATACGAACCAAGTCAATAAAAGGGAGGGCTATTGGCTCTGCATTTTTAATAAATTATAAATTTGTAAATTGGGAGAGAGAAAAGGTGGGAAGCCATTGAGATAGTTCTCTGGAGGTGAAGTAGCCATTAAAACTCTCCACATGATGAGAAAACTTTTTAGAACTAAAATGTCTAAATATGAAGTTATTTGCAACATTTCAAGGTAAACTCACCCTCTTCTCCTTATACTTTCTACAAACAACTGCCTTGTGAGTGGGTATGTGTATGTTACAAACAGTAGGGGGGAGAAAACAACACCTTGGCTCCATGTTGATGACACGTGGAAAAGGATAAGAACTTGAATGACAGAGAAGTCACACAAACTAAGCTGAATATGCAGAATCAGGACCATGAACCTAGAGGAGACCATGTAAATGTAAATCCTTCTCTCATTCCTTGCCTCTCACCACCTTCTCCCTACCCCAAGAATTCACAGAAATCTTGGGTAGTACTCTGAACCTCTGCAAGTACAGAATGGAGAACTGAGTCAGTATTATAATGATATTAAAGGGTCAAGTAGCCTTAGCTGACTTTGGAATTACATGGTGGCAAAGCCCAAAAATTATTTTCAAACCATGTTTAAAGGGTAATTTTGTCTTCCTCATACCCTCCAATGCAAAGTTGTTCTGGCCACTTTCTGAATAACTGAGGTCCTGAGATTCTGGTCTCCACTTCTGTCTTAGATAATTTTGTGCAGCTGTATCACAATACCTGAGACTTATAATGGACAGTCCTGGAGGGTGAGAAGTCCAATATCAAGGAGCTGGGATCTGGTAAGGACCTTCTTGCTAAAACATTACATGTCAGAAGGTGAGAGAAAGAGCAATAGCAAGAGAGGGCCAAGTTTGTCTTTATATAATGCACCAATCCCACCCATGAAGGTGGAGCCTTCATGGCCTAATCATCTCAAAAGTCCTACGTCTTAATACTGTTACAATGGCAATTAAATTTCACTATGAATTTTGAAGGGGACAAACATTAAAGCCATGACAACTCCCATCCCCGTTGGGTCATTCTGGTAGGGCCCAAGGCACAGGGTACCATCTCTACCACCATCAACCCTTCTGATGAGCTCACTTTCATTTTAAGATTGTGATTCAAACTTTCTCTTTTTGTAAACATTATTCCATTTTCCCCAGTTACAAAATAATTTTTTAATCATTACACTTTCAGAAGTAAATGAAGAATGGCCCTAAAATCACACACCTACCTCCAGTTTGGCATGTCTATGTTTAGAGAAGCTTGTTATGGTAGTAAACAGAATTAAATGCAGCCATCTGTTGGTAAATGAAATATATGTTGAGTAGCAGTTACATTTCAGTTCAGAAAAAGATTCTGGGCTTAATCTAAATGTCCTTTGAAAGCTAACTCAAGTCTATTTGGAAAGATTAGTCCTATGTATGAGACGTATATTCCAACACAGGTTTGGAATCTGAAGTGCTCAGATGCTGACCTGAATGGGGAAGTTTCGGTGATTGGATCAGGTAAGAAAGTTGTTCAGTGTAGGATCAGACACATATTTATTTTAGCTGGAGTCAGATAAGCCAAAAGAAAGTTAATAAGATAAAGGGAAGTCTTTAGGTACCTATGAACAACCGGACATTTTCTTTAAAAGCCCCTCGTAATGTTGAGTGCCTTTATACCCATTTTACTGATTGAGGAAACTGAGGTTCACAGAGAAAAAATAACTTGCCCAAGACCTCATAGCTAGGGCAAGGTAGTGATGGGGTTGAAATGCTGGTATAATTCTAATCTCTCCATGAAAACACAGATGTAGCTCAGCAGGCAGGCAACTAGGGATGTGATTATAGGCCCAAGGCTATTGTGATATGTGAATCAGTGCTGAGCAGTACAAAAAGCAGATTTGTAATCAGAAGGTCCAGGCTCTGCTACTCATTAGACCTATGACCTTGGACAAATTGCTTGTTACTCTTTAACCCCAATTTCTTCATTATTTTTTTTCTCTTTTTAAGAAAAAAAAAAAAGAGGAGGAAGAGGATACAATTATCTACTTAACCTGAAAAAAGCTCCCCAAACAGAACAATTTAGGAGCAATAACATGTAGCCTTTTTATGTCATGATGCCCAGTTGCCCAGTTGTCCCAGTGACACTAGCACCACAGTGAGAACAGACACTCCAAGGCCACTGGTCTACTTGAACCAGTTTTTGCAGAACCAGGAGAGCAGATGAGATATATTCCAGAATTTCTCAGTGAGGCTCAAAGACCTGCAAAGAATGCTTTTGGATAATCAGTTGTTTACTTTCGAAGACATTAAAAAAATAAAACGGCACCAGAAAAATTGGCCTCCCACAAATCAGTTCAACTTCCTGTCACTAACTGTACTCAAATATTTTGTTCATTCACTTGTGGCTGCACTTAGGCCTTTTTCCACGGCAATATGCTTCTGCAAGCATAAAAGTGCTGAAATGTGTGTTTGTATGTGATTTTAAAATTTACCTTTGAAAGTGTAATGCTTTGAAAATTACATTTAACCAGGCCACATAATTTGATGATCAAGAATAGGGAGTTTGAAGTATAAGATAGAAAAAGTAAAAATATGTAAGGAAGATAATGAGAGAAATTCAGAATATTTGTGTCAATATGGATTAGCATAAACTTGGTTTTCTCTCTGATGCTGCATACAGCAACAGGAAGGAAAATCGACTACTTTAAAGCAAGTGAATCAACAATGAGCAAAGTTCACTAAAATAAAATAAAGTATACTTTGATGTTTCTCTAATATATGGGTTTTATTATTGTGGTGACACAAATGAATCTTTGTCAAGGGTGAGAATTCCCTGGGTAGTAAACTCAAGACATTTTGACTTTTGTAGTAACATTTTCAAAGCCATTAAACAAATTCGAAAGAAAAAGGTCATCAGATTTGTTTTGCAATTGAAAAGAGCCTTGGTTAGCCCCAATCAATAGGATAATCACATAAGACATTTTAAAAAACAATGTGGAATCTTCCTCCATTTTCAAAAGTACCTGAGAAAATTAAACTCTTGCAATAGGAGAATTTGTGCTAAATCTCTGCTTGATGTATATGGCTTAACCTGCTTGGGGGTAGAAAGAAACCAAAACTAAAAAAAAAAAAAACAAACGATCTCATTTATAGCCAGGAGACTTCAGGCCACAGATGGTTCCCACTGCTCTCTTACAAGTTTTTTTGTTTTTTTTTTAATTGGGGCACCATTTTCTGTTTCTTTTTTCCCTTCCCGCAATAGTCATGACAGTGAAAGGACTGGGCATGGTGTAGGGGTTGTAGGAAGGGATACAGTGAAAGTTTTCCTGAAGAAAAACTCTGGCCTTGGAGCTGGACAGTTCAAACCCCTCTTCTGCTGCTAAATGGCTGTGTAAGCTTGGACAATTCACTTAACCTCATCAAGTCATTATTAATAGGGAAAGTAATTCCTAATATGACAGAGGACAAATATCAATGCATGAGGAATAACAACCTCCTGCCAAAGAAAATTCTGGCCAGACAGCTAGATTCCTTCCTTTTTATTCAATAGATCCAGAATTAAACACTACAAGGCAGAGAGTACAGCAGAATTCACTGGAAAAAAAATAAATAAATTTTAAAAACCTGCAAATTCAGAGCAGAGAATGACTAGTTCAAAAAAAAAAAAACTTTAATAATGTCTAAAAGTCTGATGTTTTAATTCTTTTTTATTTTGAAACTAGCCTTTGTGTTTTGGTGGTGTTGATAAAATAGCACCCACTTTAGCCCACGATGGGTTTTGAATCAGTTGAGAGAGGTGTGAGAGAGATCAAAATAGTCCCTCATTACTTCTAAAGCCTGGGTTAGAGACTTAGGTGGACCTCCTAATACTGAACCACAAAATCAGGTAGATGTGCCTACTCAGTCATAGATAGTGCTAGAAAACCACAGTCCTTTTCCACACAGAAGGAACAGACTAGAACACATATTTCCTGTGGTAGCTGGCTCCCAAGGGGAAGGAGAAAGGAAGATGCTGAGCTATGCATACCTAGTTTTTCTTGCAAACTTGGCAATCGTGTACTTTATTGCATCCCAGGGGAAGAACAACTGAAGGTGTGGACAGAGGCCAGGGTTTATGCCCTTACGGGTGTCTTTCCATATGAAAGGAAATATCAACAATCAAAAATGTGCTTCTGTGAGCATCAGTCATCTCAATTCATCCTTGTTCAGTGGAATGAATTGGATTTACAATAATTTATTGTAATTAATAGAACTCTGCATCGATATCCTTAATGTTTAAACAATACATCTCAGCATCCTGATGAATACATCCTGGTTTTATTCTGGAATGGTTTGAAATGAGATATGATATGTCTGGATTTTCCTTTTCTTTATTAAACCTTTTAATGCATTTAATTTCCAGAGATGACTGGATTGGTTCCAGGAGAGGGAGGGGAGAAGCCTGTATACATCTGTAATGATCTCTGACAGTGTGACATGGAGAACTGATTTTTACAGCAGTAGTCAAAATTACAGTAATTAAGAGAAAATACCCACATCTTTATAAACAGAGTGTTAACTGATTCAAAAAGAACTTAATGAGAACTTACAAGAGGAAGTGCACGTTTGCCACTGAGTATTAAACATTAATTAAAGTCAGAAGGCAATAGTCAAATTGCCTCTCCACTTCAGTCACTTGGCAAGGCACAGAAATTGGAGAGGCTTTAGAATCTGCTGACTTTGCTGGCTCTGACCCTTCAAATGGGTTCTGTAAATTTATGGTCAGTTTTGCTGCTGAATTTTACTTCCTATTAAAGATCTTGTTGTAGAAACTCAAAGATGAAAGTTTTCAAATGCACACAGCATTTTAGAATTGGACACCTTATTTTAAAAGAGTATTTTAAATGCCCTTTTTTATTATAAAGATAAATTTAAAAAAATTTATCTGTGAAATACAGCATGAAATCATGAAATAAAATATGCCTAGAAAATATTAGAAGGAAATACATCAAATTATTAGAAATGGATTCCTATGAATGATTAAACATTTGATGAGTTTTTCTTTTTTGCATTTTATATGTATTGGTTTTATAAATGGAAAAAAATAAAGTGTGAATTTCTCAAAGTTTGTATATTCTCATGGAATAGGTAATCAGGGCCCCAAAATTGGCTACAGGGTACACATGAGAACTAGCTTTTGTTTCTGTTTCTGAGATCTTGGGAATGTTGCAAATTTAATAAGATGCAAAATGATAAACACAGCTAATCCTTGAATACCACACTGCACTGTTTTTCTTTTTACTGAATGACTGCAGATACACTTTGCCATTTCAATATACAATTACACTTGTGAATTAATGTATCATTGTGGCTCTGATCCAACATCAAACCCTTGATCTGATAACAAGCAAGACAAACTTCCAGAAGCAGACCTAACAACTTTTTTATTCTGAGTTTAGAACTGACCAATTTGAACAAGGCAGGTCATAGGAATGGTCAGATGAATCTCCTTGGGGGCTCCAACCCATGAAACACTTTATATTAACTCCTAGGCAAATAAGACAGTGACTTGAGGGTGGGTGGGAGGGGGGAATCTTTCCTTGTCTTATCCATTCAACTCACTTATTTTGTATTTTTCTCCTGCGAGTTTCTATTAACTTCCTATTGGTCTTCTCTAGTCAATCTACTCTCCCAAAAATTCGGCTGCTACTTTGTCCAGTTGCCTTCAACTTCTGCACAAAATTCACTATTTAACTGTTTTAGATTATGACTCCCCCTTTCCTGTCTAGCGTTTATGGTGTACTCAATTGGTTCTGCTTTTAAATAATCTCATTTCCCTAATACGTCACATCCCCAATAGTTCCACTGGAATTTACTATCAACCTCTGTCCAGTTTTTTTCTTTTGTTTAAATTTATTAAGTTATTTACCTTTTCTACTTCTTTACATTTTACCCTCTATACTTAATTCCTTCTTGTCTGTTTTATATACTTATTCTTTGACAATGTCTTTAAAAATTTTTTACACCGCGCTTTTAAGTGTGATATATTCTGACCAACCCTCTAGTTGGTGAGGCAGGTATCACATCCATTAACAGGTGAAGGAATTAAAGAAACTAGGATCCAAATAAAGGATGTGGACCTCACGCTTTGCTTTTAAAATCCAGTGTTTGTTCCACTGCATCCCTACTGTGTACGAGGAGCATTTGAACCACAGCTTTGGTCAGTGGAGGGAGCTTATATTAGGCCTGGAAGGAGACACCTGCCGTGGGCATGTGGGTGAGGGGAGTTTGCAACATTATTTTTCTCACCTGCTCTCCCTAAACTTCTTGATGGAGTGTGTGCATGTGTGTGTGCTCCTGACAGCAATAACAAAGTATCTCAAACATCCTAGGCAGTCATCTTGAATTTGTCAGATTGATCTGAGTTAAAAGGAAAGCCGGCTGAAAGCAGTGGTTTGTGTCTGTAATCCCAGCACTTTGGGAGGCCAAGGTGGGTGGATCTCCTGAAGCCAGGAGTTCTAGACCAGCCTGGCCAATATGGTGAAACCCCATCTCTGCTAAAAATGTAAATAATTAGCCGGGTGTGATGGCACATGCCTGTAATCCCAGCTACTTTGGGAGGCTGAGACAGGAGAATCGCTTGAACCCAGGAGGTGGAGGTTGCAGTGAGCTGAGATCACACCACTGCACTCCAGCCTGGGCAAAAGAGTGAGACTCCATCACAAAAAACAAAAAACACAGGAACAAAATTGAAAAACTAGAAACTTCACATCTTCTGAATAACTGTGGGTTCTCCTGTTTTCATTATGTCAAATGAAAAATGAACAGATTTGGGGGTTGTTTAACCTCAAAATGAAATTATGTATAGCCTGAGCTGCTGGCCTACAATTCACTTGGAAACTCTTTTGAAGGAAAATGTTAAAGACAGGCAACATACAGAATGGGAGAAACTTTTTGCAATCTATTAATCTAATGTCCAGAATCTACTAGGAACTTAAATGGATTTACAAGAAAAAAACCCCATTAAAAAGTGGGCAAAAGGCATGAACAGACACTTTTCAAAAGAAGACATTCATGCAGCCAACAACCAACCTATGAAAAAACGTTCAACATCACTCATCATTAGAAATGCAAATCAAAACCACAATGAGATACTATCTCATGTCAGTCAGAATGGCGATTATTAAAAAGTCCAGAAACAACAGATGCTGGCAAAGTTGCAGAGAAAAAGGAACACTTTTACATTTTTTTATTTTTTAAAGTGAATGTATGTATGGCATTGAAGCCACCATCACATTGGGCCACAGGAAATGTATTCCCAGTCGTGATTATTGGGGCTCCCCTACGGGATCCTAGTGCATCAAAGAGGCCCTCAAGGTGCTGATCTATACTGGTTAGCTCTGCAGCCCTTTGTGTGCAGCCCACAAAGTCCCTTCAAGTTCCCATGGCTCTGCTGCTTCTGTGTCACAATTAGGGCACAGGCACCTTTGCTGGGGCTTGGAGTTGCAGGGTCCAAGGTTCAGCCTCTTTTGGTGCCCCCATGTGGTCATCACCTTTCAGGTTCCGCTACCTCACAGAAGATCTGCCACCCAACAGGACATATGTCTCCATTAATAGAAAGACCTAATCATTTTGTTCCTCTTTTCTAGTTTTGAGGAATATGCTCCTTCCTTCTCCCTTCTGGCCCTCAAGGACATGCCTCTTCTCTTCCTGCCCCTTCAGGTATACCAGTATAACAACTTAAAAAAATATAAGCTTTGATAAAACACAAGAGCTGTGTCAAATTTATATGTTGAAATCCCAGCCTCCAAGGGATGGTATTAAGAGATGGGATCTTTGGGAGGTGATTAGGTCTTGAGGTTGAAGCCCTCATAAATGGGATTAGTTTCTTTATAAAAGAGACCCAGCAAGCTCTCTCACTCCTTTCTGCCACATAAGAACACAAGGAGAAGACAGTCATCTATGAACTAGGAAGAGGGCCCTCACCAGACACTGAATCTATCAATGCCTTGATCTTGGACTTCCCAGCTTCCAGAACTATGAGAAACACACTTCTTTTGTTTATGAGCCACCCAGTGTATGGTGGTTTGTTATAGCAGCACAAACAGCCTATGACAACAAGAACAATCAGTGACTTTCAGTAGCTTCAGCTGTTTTCCCTGGCATATATCTCTGTAATGACTAAGGCACACTCAAGCCCTGGCTACTTGCTTGGTATTGAAATGGAATGGGATGAGTGAGGAGGGGGGAGGGGAATCAACACACATACATGTGTGTGCACAAATTAATATCTCAAAATCTTTTTCTGCCTCCTTGTAATAAGCAAAGGGATTCCCAGGAAAATCACCTTTGGGAAAAGCTACCATGACACTTGTTCATAGTGCAAGCAGCTAAACCATCATGTCAGGAGGGTAAGCTCAGGAAATTAGATTGAAAAGTGATGAAAATAAGCCATGGGCTCTTTGGTTCTGTAGAAAGAACATTAAATTGGGAGTCAGGAGACATGAGGTCAGACCTCAGTTTTCTCACTTACTTACTGTACGATCTACGAAAAATGACTTTAATCTCTCTGGGCCTCAGTTTCTCCAGATGCAAAATAAGGGATATTGATGGGTTGATCCTAAACATCCTCCAAGCCTCAATATTGACAACTGGTTTGGTAAAATAGGAAAGGATCTATCATTTTTACAAAGCATCTTAATGATCCACCAGATCGCTGTCTCTAGTATCTGACACATTTAAATTATATTTCTTGGTTACATAGGGGGTGGGGGTGGTGGTGGGGTGGGGGGCGGGGGGATAATGCTAACTGAGTGTATGAAGCCTCCAAGAGTGAACACAATGTGTAAGCATGGGTGTGTGACATTTCAAAACCAACTCATTCTGACTGCTTTGGGTCCTTCTTTCTTTGTTCATTTGGAGTTATTTTCACTGCATGCTCCCGCTTCGTGTTCAGCTGCACAGGAAGTTTTTGCAATTGGGTTAAGAAATTCTGGGAAACAGGAGTTTATGGGTAAATCCTTGTATGGCAGTGGACCAGCTCTTGCTTTGGGTGAGCTATGTGGAATTGGAATGAGCCAGTCAGCCCTGCACAGAGAGGTGAGGCATGGCTCTCGTTAAATCCATCTGCGGTGCCTGCTATTTTAGGGAAGCCACAGTGTGAGCAGTGGCAATATTTCACTCCACAAATGGGCCATAAGAAACATTAAAGATGTCATGTATTCTAAAGAAATTGACTTAATGATCCTACTCACTTAAGGAGGAATTGCTGGCAAAATTCATTCCTTAAATGAGTCCAAATGACAGATTCCTGCACAAACACAAATTCATGGTAACATGCATGAATTAACAAACATGCTAACATGGTAAGTCCTCAGATCTTGGAAACTGTGACTTTCAGCAAAATGACGTACAACAAAGCCAATTTTACCATAGGCTAATTAATATAAACTGGAGTTAAGTTCCTATGGCACATTTCTGGCTATAAAAGTATCACCGAAGTTCCAAAGACAGATATCAAAATGCTTTTAATATTAAGCATTGCAATAAATGTGAACTATACATACATTTAAGAAAGATTAATAAAAAGCTAATTATATACTAAGGGTTGAGGGTTGATATTATTCATCCCAGCAACTGGAGGAACCAGCCCTGGACAGGACGCCATCCCATGGGAGGGACACTCACACCACACCCACTCTCTCAGTCTGGGACCACATAAGCACACCACTTCACCTAATGTGCGTAGCTTTGGGATGTGCAAGGAAGGTAGAGTACCCAGAGAAAACCCACAGACATGGAGAAAGCATGCAAACTTCAGCCAGACTGTGGCACTGACCAGTAATCAACTTTTTTTCCTTATCAACATTGTAATGAAGCAATGTTATTTGAAGACCTGCTGCACAGCTTTTTTGCACCCTCAGATCTCCTCCATTGTGTCTATAAACCCCAACCCTAGGCCTCAGGGCACTCAGAGCTCATAGTGTGTTTTCTTTCCGAAGTGAAACCGTCACCACGATGCCCACTTTATAAGGAAGGAATAAAACACTCTGTGAAAGACTCAATGACAGCAGCCGAGAGCATCATTAACTTTGAGTTCAGTGAAAAGAAGGGAAACAAATTCAAAGTCATCAAAATGGAAGCTTTTAATTGTTCCCCACCATGAACTAAAATGAATGTTCAAAATTGAATAGTGGATCATATCTTTTGGATATGATCCTGGCATCCCCCCTATTTTCTGGCAGAGCACTTTAAATCATTGTTAGTGTGTAATCATCAACAAAAGCAAAGACCTTCACCCAAATTTGTAGAGAATGTCCATTTTTGCAGAAGTTTTCTATTTTCTTCAGCTTCTTACATTGCCAATTGCCAGAGACTATGGCACAGTGGAATATTCTTATTTATTCCTCACAATAGCTCCCCTAGGGAGGCTTGAGGGCTTGTTATTCCATCTCTATAATATGGGGGAGATTTAGCACCAGATATCAAGCCATATGTTATAATACATCATTAATTGAAACAGGAGAAGAACTCGGGCAGAGGTTTCATATTATTACATAATGTTGACACATTTTAAAAAGAAACTAAAAACTATTTGTTTTCTACAATAATGAAGTACTGGTTTGGTTATACACACATATAATGTATATATGTACTTCATATATATATATTTGTATTGGTTTGTTCTCATGCAGCTACGAAGAAATACTTCAGACTGGGTAATTTATAAAGAAAAGAGGTTTAATTGACTCAGTTCTGCATGGTTGGGGAGGCCTCAGGAAACTTAAAATCATGGCAGAAGGCACCTCTTCACAGGTTGGTAGGGGAGAGAATGAGTACAAGCAGGGGAAATGCCAGATGCTTATAAAACCATCAGATCTTTTGAGAGTCACTCACTACCATGAGAACAGCATGGGGGAAACTGCCCCCATAATTCAATTACCTCCACCTGGTCTCTCCCTTGACACATGGGGCTTATGGGGATTACAATTCAAGATGAGATTTGGGTGGGGACACAAAGCCTAACCATATCAATATTCATACATCATTTTCTTTAAATTGATACAACTAAAGTGACTGGATGTTTGATTTTACACTACATTTGCCATTTCATCACTTCCCAGGGGAACTCAAGTTATCTCAAAATATAGCACGATTTCCCCAATTAAGGTTTTTTTTTTTGGAAACAGGGTCTCAGTCTGTCACCCAGACTGGAGTTCAGTGGTACCATCATAGCTCACTGCAAGCTCAAACTCCTGGGCACATGCAATTGTCCCACTTCAGCCTCCCAAATAGCTGGCACTACAGGCTCATCCCATGGTGCCCAGCTAAAAATTTTTCTTTTCTTTTTTTTTTTTTTTTTTTTTTTTGTAGAGATGGGTCTCACTTTGTTGCCCAGGTTAGTCTCAAACTTCTGGCTTCAAACAATCTTCCCACCTCAGTCTCCCACAGCACAGGGATTACCTGTGTGAGCCACTGCACCAGGCCCCACTCCATTTCTTAAATGCGTTTCTTCATACTCTTAGATGGTAGGTTGGGAGAGAAGTAGTCTGTAGCCTCTTTCACTGTCACTAGTTGGGATAGACAACCAAAACACTTAAAGTCCTGGTGCTTTACTTAGAATGTATCATTATAGGTCCTGTTGTCTGTGGGTGAATTAATAAAGGATCTACTATCATGGCGGGGGCGGGGGTTTGCTTTATGATGAATGGTCTCACACAAATTCTATTTTTAGAATGTCGTGACCGACACTATTGTACACCAACAAACTACTGTTCCCATGCAAACTCAGGAGAGACTTGCCACCAACAGCTGGTGTCCTTCACAGCTGTTGACTTCCATACTGTTTTAAGACCTGTCATTCTCAGATAACTTAGACATTTCAGAGGCAGATATGTACTTCCTTCTGAGACTATGGCTTTTAAATCTTTGTTAGTGTAAAATGTCCTTCACAGACACAATCTTACATAGAACTCAAATATTAGAAACATGCTGAAGTGGAGGTACCCTAGGAGAAGCAGTGAAGAAAAAACACACAGGTTGCCTCCTGGTCCCACCTCATACCATCTTTAAGGCTCTCTCTCAGAAGGCTAGCCCTCTGCAGAACCCAATTTGAGGACTCCTGCTCTAGACTATCTGTAGAACAAGCCACATCACATACAATTGCCCATATTCTCTGAGACATATGATGGAAAAATGGTAGACTGCAGAATCTGCCTTTTAGCAAAAAGCATGCTGGTGTGTATTGGCACATCATCTAACAGGAATTCCCCTAGGACACACCAACCTGAGGGGAGAGCTGAGTTGCCTTATGATGGGACTGTCATACATACTGCTGGCTTCCCCAGTTTCTCAGGTGCTACTTCAATTCCCAAGTTGCTGCAGGGCTGCCCCAGCTGCTGCTATATTTCTCTGAGGACTTGGTGTCACTACCTAAAGAAGTCATGCATTGCTCTCCTAGTGAAGAACTTGCTTCACCATTGCTATAGATGCTGTTGTTGTTATATGTTGATGCTGATTTTCTACATGGTCTCTTTACTACTAGAACAGCTAAGGATCCTCTCATTATACAAGGAATTTCTTTTTCCTATTTTCTTTCCTTCTTCCATTCATTTAATCCTCAGAAAAAGAGAAAAGGCTTTGAGTTCTGTCTTATTCAAGTAGTGTTGAGCATATTTCTTGATAAGTAACAAATTCTTAGCAAATGTATATTCTCTGTAAATATATATTCTTCTAAGATATTCACTTTTGGAGACAAAAAGCACACACTTCAGAGTGAAACAGCCATCATTTCAAACCTGTGTACTGCTTCCTGCAGGTGGTATGATTTGGGGCAGTTACTTCACCTCTGAGCTTCCATTTCCTCGTTTTTAAAGCACGGTGGCAATACCTACCTCAGGGTGGTTGTAGAAAGAAATAATATGGTGTATGTGACTGGTGTGGCATGCAGTAAGTGCTCAAAAAAGGTAAGTTCCTTTCTTTTCCCCTTGAAGAATGAAGTGCTGTACTACTTGCAGGGGGTCAGTCTGGCTCTGCCCTTCAGGGAGTCCCTGTGAGCCAGAGGTTCCAGCCATTCCATAGGAGCCAGCTGGGGAAGCCTCTCCAAAGAGCAGGGTAGGACCCACGGATCTGGGTCCACCATACTGTTCTTTACTGACTAATGGGCTGTCCCTGGACACTTATCTCAAGGAGTTTCCAGCAATGTCAAGCAAAGAAAACAGGCCTTTGATAAGAATGATACAATGGATTTTGGAGACTTGGGGGGAAGAGTGGGAGAGGGGTGAGGGATAAAAGACAACAAATACAGTGCAGCGTATACTGCTCAGGTGATGGGTACACCAGGATCTCACAAATCACCACTAAAGAACTTACTTATGTAACCTAATACTGCCTGTACTGCAATACCTTATGAAAAAAGAAAAAGAAAACAGGCCTATGGTAAAGTTGCAAAAATAGAACAGGGAGAGGGGTAGTGTTAACAAAAACTATCAACTGTAGGAGTCATGTTAACATTGTTAACAAAATTGGTGTAGAAGCATGTTATTTGTCCTCAACCCAGCATCCATTTCTTCATCTTCTGGGATTATCGTTCTAACATACTTTGAAAAACCAGTTCTCCTTACTTTTGGCTATATCGTTTGATGGGGATTAACCCTATGCCTTGCTCCAGGGTAGAGCCTTGATTGGCTAAAGCCAACAACATGTTCAACCTTCTAGCTGCAACCGTTGGTTCAGAGATGGGCATATGACTCAATGAGAACCAGTGAAATATTTTTCTGGAGCTTAAGAGGAAAAACAGTTAAATTTCTGTGGAGCTACCATGAAAGTGTGCCTTCTTTTTGGATGGGGTAATATGAAGCTGTATGACATGAACTACTACCACAAGAGGAAAGTCTAGAGCTGCTAGGCCAAGGGGTGAAACATGAGGATAAAGAAAGGGAGCTAAGAAATTAAATTAGGTGGGAGGAGTGTGAGAGGATAAAGTCCATATTTAATGTCTTTGTACTGCTGGATCAAGCCTTATCTTAAGCCTGTATCCATCTGGACTATAAGATTAGGTAAAGCAGTCAGTTTGAAAACAGTTTTCCTGATATTGCTGCTTATTAACTGTGTAACACTTGGCAGGGCCTCAATTTCCTCATCTGAAAGAAAGGATTTAATAACATCCTTTTATAGTTGAAGTGATAAATAATGAGTTAATATATGTAAACCACCGTGCTCAATTAAATGACATTTTTAACATAAAAGTGGTTAGAAGTTCATATAGAAGTATCATCTAGAAGAGTGGTTCTCAATTGAAGCAATTTTGCCCCTCAGTGGACATTTGGCAAAGTCTGGAGACATTTTGGGTTGTTACAACTCAAGGCATTTAGTGGGTAGGGGCCAAGGATACTGCTCTACATCCTATGATGCACAATGCAACCTCCCATAACAAGGAATTATCCAGCCCCAAACATCACTAATGCCAAAGAAACCCAGATCTAGAGAACACATCTACTGATGTCAGTGAAGTGCTCCAGTTGAGGCTTCCATTATTTCTGCCAGAATACTATGGGGAAATGAAAAAAGGACACTGGCACGATGAGCAAGTACATAAGACGGTAACACCAAGGGACAAAACAAAGGGATTCCCTGGCTCTCTGCCAAGGCTATGAGCATTCTACCTGTGAATTTCAGAGTAAATGAAGGTTCTAAGAGCCCAGCTGAGGTAATGCATAGATTAGGGAGCTCTAGAAAGTGTGAGCTTGATTACCCAATTAGAACTGATCGCAGGATAGCAACAAGAGGATAAATACTGTCCAGGTGGGTATGGAGCAAGACATAATCTCAGAACAGCATGTTCCCTGCATCTTTAGGTATTATGAGGAGCAGCACAGTCAAAATGTTGAGAATTTGATACCACAAGTAGAACATCTTAATATCATTAACGATCTACTGACTTCCTGTAGGTAATATATTGTTTTATACTCAAACATTATACACATACATCTCTGTGCTGAGAGAATTTGCAAATTCTGGCATGGCGAGGAAATAGAACACTGCCTAGTTCAGTCTAACAGATATTCCTAGATAGAGAGCAACAAGGTGAGATGGTCCTATAAATCATAATCTGGCCCTTTGTAACAAGGATAATTATCATGAAGTTGCAGAATACTTCCAGATTTCAGCATTAAATGCTTCTTTTCTCACGTACCAGGTAGCTGGAGTGAATTCAGTGTTATGTACCCACCTCCTACACTTGGGGCAGAATTGCTTAAAGTAACCCAACTGCGAACCTCCACGGACCATCTATCTACATGGTGTCTGGGAGCCCCATCCACCTACAGTGAGAGGTGAGGACAAAGGCAAGGACAAGCTTTAACAGAAAGCTTCCGTAGCATTAATGCTGATGCTGTGTGACTTCTCTTCCCCTTTCACAGTAGGGGAGAAGCCGGATGGAGGAGCGTGTTCATGACATGGCCGGTTTAAAAACTATCCTTTCCTCTGTTCCTCTGCTGACTCAGTCAATTTCCCTAAAGGACATATAGATGTGTGTGAGTGTGCATGTGTATATGTATCTGGTGGCAGCTTTAATTATCACCGCTCATTACCTTTTTCCCTGTGCTCATTTTAATTGTCTCTGTGACTTTCCTTAGCAACTTATTTGAAAGCATTCCAGTAATTCTTTTCCCATTTCTGTTGGTGAAATCTTTATAATAGTCTTTTTATTATCCGTGTTTTAATGGTTTTAGTTTGCTACCTGCCAAGATTGCTGTAGTCTTAATCATTACATTTTAAAAGACAGCTGTTAGAAGTTTCTTTAACTGCACAAATAACATGTTAACAGCTGAACTAAAAATGAAATAAACTTTTAATTTCCCATGCTTTGCTAATAAAAATAGTAATAATAACAATAATAGCTACCATTTGAAAGCTTACTATGGGCAAAGCACTGCACTATGCCCTATATATTTTTCATTTAAGTGTCACATCCTTATGAGATAGGGAGTATAGTGTTATCTACATCTATTTTGTAGAAAAATAAACTGAGTCATAGGTCAAGTACCTTGCTCAGGGTCATGTCAAGTGGTGCTCTGTCAAACAAGGAGTGGCCACATGTCCCACCCAGAACTAGACTGATGTCAGAGTTGGAACTCAAAGACTGTATTCTGATTCTTTCCTCTGTGGTTTCTTCCAATATTTATCATTATGCATACAATAGTTTTTATATTATTGCAAATACAGCATCGACAGACTTTATTGCTTATTCTTTCCACTTAACAGAATACTGAAAACACTTTCCAAGATGCTATCTCATATTCCCAATGTGGATCATTTTTGATCCACATTGATAGCATATTCTTGATATACTATCAAGAATAGTGTATTCTTCCATAAAATTGATAGATCGTACTTGAATTGAGCATACTTGTGTTATATGATATTTATGTGGTTTTTGGTTTTTCATCTTTTAAAAGAATCTAGTCATGTATATAGCATTTTCTAATTTTGATTTATTTTTTGAGATAAATTCCTAGGAGTGAAGTTACTGAGTCAAAGGGTAAGTGTCTTTTTAAATAATTCTTCAAATGTGTTCTTCAAATGTTTTCCAAAATTATGCTTGGAGTGAGCATTTCTTGAGATACTAGGTTTATCATGATTCTATTAATATAGAAATTTATCATTATTTTAAGTTTGTATTATTTCAGTAGTCATTTTCTGTTAATAGGCAATTGTTTAAGAATTATTGAGGTTGGACAATTCATTAATATATGGTTATTTTCAATTTCTATAAACATTCTATATCATATAGACAAAGAATCAACAAACTATGGCTCATGGGCCAAACCTGGTCTATTGCCTGTTTTTATAGTTTTATTGGAATACTTCCACACTCATTCATTTATGTATTATGTATGGCTGCTTTTGCATACTACAACCACAGAGTTGAATAGTTTCAACAGAGATTGTATGGCCCACAGGTAGAAGTGACTATATAATTTACAGGGTCCAGTAAAAATTGAGAATGTGGAGCCCCTTGTTAAACAATTAATGGGAATGTTAAGACAGTGACAGCAGAAGTTTCAACCAAGTGCAGGTAACAAGTCCATGAAACTGTCCCTGCCCACAAGGCCTAAAACATTTATAATTTGGCCCTTTACCAAAAAAGTTTGCTAACCCTTGGTATATATGTTTAATCCTAAATCTGTTATAATAGGTTCAAATGTCTTCTTTTTCTATGATTTCCCTTTTTAATTATGACATTCATGTCAAAACACTGATTTTTTTTTAAGCAGGGCAGTGATTTTTTTTAATGTGATAGAATCTTCAGATAATTTCTTTCAATAATTACTACCTCAAAGATCAGACAGTTGAATCTATTCTCTTCTGGTTATTTTTAATGATATTACTTCATATATTTAATTCTATTCACAGCATTAATTTTAATGTATAGTATTAAACATGGGTTATACGCTAATCTACTTTAAAATTGAGAATCACAACTCCAATTGTAAATATTTTCCTTATTCATTGCTTAGTAATGCCTACCTTACCATACATGAATTTCTTATATATAACTGGTCAATTTTTGAGCTTTTCAACATATTTCATTAATTTCTGATTCTATTTTTTGTTCTTTAGCTCAGTGGTTCTCAACCAGGGGTAAATTTTCTACCAAGAGCACATTTTTGGTCATCACAACTGAAGGAGAAGGTGCTACAGGCATTTGATGAGTAGAGTAGAGGCCACTGATGCTACTGAACATGTTACAATGCACAGGACAGCATCCACAATAAAAAATTATCTGGCCCCAAATATCAATGGTGCTGATGTTGACAAATCCTACTTCAGCTTTGTATTTTATTTACTGATGTAAGTACCTTAAGTGCCATTAAGGGCAGATTCTCTTCCTAATTTCTGTTTCTTTTCAAAAAATTTATTTGCTTTTGTAAAATTCATTTTGTAAATGAATTTTAAAACAGCTCTGTCAAATGGGATCACATTAATCTAAAAAGCTTCTGAGTAGCAAAGGAATCAATCAGCAAAATGAAGAGACAACATTCAGAACGGGAGAAAATATTTACAAACTACCCATCTGACAAAGTACAAATAACCAGTCTATCTAAGAATTCAAACAACTCAAGAGGAAAACAAACAAACAAAAAAATCCAATCAAAATGGGCAAAAGATCAGAGTTGACATTTCTCAAAAGAAGACATACAAATGGCCAACGGTTACATTTTAAAAGTGTTCAGCATCAATAATCATCAAAGAAATGCAAATTAAAACTCCAATAAGATATCATCTCATACCAGTTAAAGTGGCTTTTACCCAAAAAATAGGCAAAATGAATGTTGGCAAGGACATGAAGACAGACAGTAACAAATACTGGCAAGGATGTAGAGAAAATGAAAAACCTTCATACACTGTTGGTGGGAATGTAAATTAGTACAACCACTACAGAAAACAGTATGGAGGTTCCTCAAAAAAACTAAAATTGGAACTATCATATGATCCCGTAATCCCACTGCTGATATATATCAAAAAGGAAAGAAATCAGTATATCAAAGAGATAGCTACACTCCTATGTTCATTGCAGCACTATTCACAATAGCCAAGATTTGGAAGCAACCTAGGTGTCCATCAGCAGATGAATGGATAAAGGAAATGTGGCATATATACACAATGGTATATTATTTAGCAATAAAAAAAATAAAATCCTGTGATTTTCAACAACATGCATGGAACTGGAGGACATTATGTGAAGTGAAATAAGCCAGGCACAGAAAGACAAATATCACATGTTCTCACTCATACGTGAGAGGTAAAAAAAAATGAAAAATGAGCTAATGGAGATAGAGAGTACAATGATGGTTACCAGAGGCTGGGAAGGGAAGCAGGGAGGAGAAGATAAAGTGAGGATGATTAAATGAGTACATAAGTACAGTTAGATAGAATGAATGAGGCCAGCTGGGCGCGGTGGCTCACACCTGTAATCCCTGCACTTAGGCAGGGGGATCACGAGGTCAGGAGTTAGAGACCAGCCTGACCAACATGGTGAAACCCCGACTCTACTAAAAATAAAAAATTTGGCTGGGCATGGTGGCGCACGCCCTGTGATCTCAGCTACTCAGGAGGCTGAGGCAGGAGAATCCCTTGAACCCGGGAGGCGGAGGTTGCAGTGAGCCGAGATGGTGCCACTGCACTCCAGCCTGGGAGACACAGCAAAACTCTGTCTCCAAAAAAAAATAAAAAAAGACCTAGTATCAGGTAGCACAATGTTGCTGCCTGCCTACGTTGCTAGGTAAAGCTTTCTGAACCTCTCCTGGTTCTGAGCACTGGACAATTCATAAATCACTGTTTCTTTGTTCAGATAAACTCTGCTAAATTTAGTTTGACTAAAGTTTTTCTTTTAACATTTCAAATAACTTTACTATTACAAACATAAAATTTCAGGAGAGTTTATCTGGTCCCTTTAGCTTTTTTCTTTTCTTTCTTTTTTTTTTTTTTTAATTTCATGGAGTCTTACTCTGTCACCCAGGCTGGAGTGCAGTGGCGTGATCTCAGCTGACTACAACGTCTGCCTCCCAGGTTCAGGTGATTCTCCTGCCTCAGCCTCCTGAGTAGCTGGGATTACAAGTGCCTGCCACCATGCCTGGCTAAGTTTTGTATTTTTAGTAGAGACAAGATTTCACCATGTTGGCCAGGCTGGTCTTGAACTCCTGACCTCAAGTGATCTGCCTGCCTCGGCCTCCCCAAGTGCTGGGATTACAGGCATGATGCACCGCACCTGACCCCTCCTTTAGCTTTTCAAGCTATAAAGTAATATAGTTTGTTGATTCTTTCCAATGTTTATTTTTGTTTAGTTTTGAGAGCATAGGGTTGGACTTCCAAACCAATTTAATGAATAATGCTGATAGAATTAAAGGTGTGAATTATTTCTCAATTGAGCAAAATGTTCTTTAGAATATTTATCATTTAAGTTAAAAATAACAACTTTTAATGACTTTCTGAATGAAAATTTAAGCTCCAGATTTTTGTCTTAAAATACTTACTACTGGCGTTTTGATTTTATTACACAGTACATTCACGTGTGTGTATATGTGTGTGTGTGCATGTGTATATATCTACACACCTATCACATATATAATAAACCTCTAAAAATTAATGTGACATGACAAAGTGCTGGGTATGTGCTAGCTAGTTAGAATATGTTGGCAGTGCCATGATGTACTTAAGCTTATTGAAGTATAAGGAGCTATTCAAGGATATAAGGTACCTCTGTAGCAGGTCAAATTGTAATTTTCCCCAGCATTCCTGCAGAATGTGATTGATTCTTGAATGGACTTGAACAAAAATATTTCTGACCTAATCCTCAGTCCTTCAGTCCTTCAGTGATAGCAATCCCTAAGCTCCCTTTTTTATTACCAGCATCTGTCTTGTCACCTCATCCATCTCTTTATACAGATTTTTCTGGAGGCCTTACAGAGCAGTCAAGAGTGACTGAATTGCACATTCTCTTCAGAGATCAGAACTGTAGCCAAACACTTCTCTGTAAACTGACCCATGTTCCTGGTTCTTTCTATGAATATAAGGAGTCATAGAAGTTTGCATTAAGGGATACAATACTGATGAAAGAAATTATTTAATTCAATTATAACCTTTATTTCTTTCAGTATTTAACCTTATGTGAATTACATTAAGACAATGATACATTTGCATTTGAGGGGCTTATGATTAAACTAAGTTTCCCTCTGTTTTTTTCACAGTGTATTTTCCTTGTTAAGTACCAAACATCAGCTTTAGAATCTGATTGGCAATATGGAGGAATGGAAGGATCATAAAAATGAATTGCAAACCAAATGGTATAAAGTAGGAATTGATAAAGAGTATCCTATAAACAAAATGCTAAGATATATCCTAAAGACTCAGGTGGTCATAGGTTTTCCCATGATTGCTCCAGATAATGGACATGAAAGCACACAGTAACCATGTTTAAACCATACCTTTTAATTTATAAAGTTGACATTGAAAAATGACAGAAAGGTAATGTATTTACAAATTTTATATGCTTCTGCACTTTTACTATTTTAATAACCTTAGAATTTCCACATAATATGAAATTTAAACAGATTCCTTATTTTGAATTTAATATAGTGCTTTTAAAAAGTATTTTTAAGGATTTTATCTCTTTCTGGTTGCTTACTTAAACTATGTTATGCATTTTTGGATATTCAAATAAGCTCTTGATTTAGTAACTAACATGGATCAAATGTTTAAAGGTTTGAAGAGGTATAAAAATGGCTAAACTATTATAAAAATTCTGATAAACTGTAGAAGAATGGTAAGTTTGCATTAAAGGAATGATCGAGTAGACTATTAGATAGGAATAAAACCACCATGAATTTGAACCCTAGTTTCACCATTAGCTATAATCATCTTGGGCAATTTAATTCACCTCTCTATATTGCAGTGTCCTCATCTGTAAAGTGAAGGCAATAATAGCATTCACTTCATAGGCTTGTTACAAGGACTAAAACAAGTTAATTTATGTAAACTATTTATGACTACAACAGGCAGAGAACAGTGAAGAATGAGAATGACTGGCATAAAAGAAATAAAATACTCTAGGGCAAACTGAGTGGCACTTCTAGATAAAAATACTCAACAAGCTATTACCAGTGAGGAAGAGAATTACACAGGAAACGTGTTACAACTGACAACATCATCATACACTTGTACTCAATCCTCACGTTACAGATATCTCTCATTCCTTTCAATATAGATATGTCTACCATATTCAAAGAAGACAACTTCCTATATAGTTACACAATGATCCTTGATAACTCAGAGAATATACATCTGACAATACCTGTTTATATAATCTGAAACCTATAGTTATATACTGACAACAGTGCATTTTTCTCTCAAGAGTTTGATCACTGGACTCATTATTGTACTAAGAAGAATGATGTTGGAAATTACATTTACCATAAGATAAAATATGCAAATATTTTGACAATTATTATTATGATCTTCTGGAATCATGTATGTTACTCTGTATATAGCTGGCATTTTGATTTACTACTATCAGATTTTAGGGAAGAGAAGGCATCTCAAAAGCAACGGAATGTGAGTGAAGAGCAAAAGATGTGGCCGGGAGTGGTGGCCCATGACTGTAATCCCAGCACTTTGGGAGTCTGAGGCAGGCAGATCACTGGAGGTCAGGAGTTTGAGAACAGCCTGGCCAACATGGTGAAACCCCATCTCTACTAAAAATACAAAAATTGGCCAGGCATGGTGGCACATGTCTGTAATCCCAGCTACTAGGGAGGCTGAGGCAGGAGAATCACTTGAACCCAGGAAGCAGAGGTTACAGTGAGCCGAGATCACACCACTGTACTCCAGCCTGGGTGACAGAGCGAGACTCCATCTCAGAAACAAACAAACAAACAATAGCCAAGATTTGGAAGCAACCTAGGTGTCTAAGAAAAAAAAAATCTCACAGCAAAAAAAGCAAAGGATGTAGTGTTAGAACAACTTGAATTTGAGCCCTAACTTTACCATTAGCTGTATAATCTTGGCCAATTTAATTCACCTCTCTGTATTTGTTTCCTTGTATGTAAAGTGGAGGTGGTAATAATATCCATTTCATAGGCTTGTTACAAGGATTAAAACAATTTATGTAAAATACTTAGCTCGGTGCCTGATATATAGTATTAGCTGTTAGCTATTATCATTTATAAATGAAAGATCCATTTTTAGTTTGGATTCTAAGAAGAAAGTTACTCCTTCTGTCCAAAAGACTAAAATCTTTTCATCATATGAGCCCATTAATAATAAATCTCCCAGAAGAACTGAAGTCACAGAGAGGGACAGAGTTGCTTTAAGAACATGCCAGGCCTAGTGTTAAGGAGGTGGGCCTAACTAGTAGAATTCAGATTTGTTTCCCAGAATGGACACAACTGAGTAATTAGCTCATTTATAGAATATTTTCTGGCCAAAGACCACCAGGAAACCCCTAGAGTTGAACCAAGTTTGGTTTGCTTGTTGCAGCAAGGGATGATGCACACCATGGGACTGTGTGGTCTTAGATATCTCAGTCACTCATTAGATAAGACAGGTAAATGTTTCATATTTTTTGATTTGGACAATGTTTTCTCTGTTTTCAGATGTGAATTCAGAGTAGTCTTGTTTTTGTCTTGATCCATCATGGTCATAGAATAGCCTTGTTTGATGATGGTGTGTATGAAATGTTTTGTGTTCATCTGAGAACACCAAGGCCCGGTTGATAGTACTAGGACAGCTCCTGGGTGGCAGGGGCTGCCTTTTTTTCTTACCATCTTAATGAATCTTATTTCTGACTGAGTAGGTGACCCCTTGTGAAATCCCCTATCTTTTCTGAACATTAATTTCAGCATCAACATCTTAATTCTGAACTTAACCAGGGGCAATAAAACCATAATTATAGGCCGGGGGCGGTGGCTTACGCCTGTAATCCCAGCACTTTGGGAGGTCGAGGCAGGTGGATCGTGAGGTCAGGAGATCGAGACCATCCTGGCTAACATGGTGAAACCCCGTTTCTACTAAAAATACAAAAAATTAGCCAGGCGTGGTGGCAGGCGCCTGTAGTCCCAGCTACTCGGGATGCTGAGGCAGGAGAATGGTGTGAACCCAGGAGGCGGAGCTTGCAGTGAGCTGAGATCGCGCCACTGCACTCCAGCCTGGGCGACAGAGCGAGACTCCGTCTCAAAAACAAAACAAAACAAAACAAAACTGTAATTATAATAATAGGATGAATATAATATTAAGTTCAATTACAATT
Organism: Homo sapiens; assembly: GCF_000001405.40. NCBI lineage: Eukaryota > Metazoa > Chordata > Mammalia > Primates > Hominidae > Homo > Homo sapiens. The sequence goes on along the minus strand of NC_000009.12, from coordinate 101,210,711 downwards.
AAAAATGGAAGGATACCCACTTCCATGGTAAAGATAAAGCAGTAGATTGCATTCTTCTTCTAAATTCTAGATTTTAAATGCCTCTCCATTTTTATCAACAAAATTGATCAACATAAATGTGTCAAATCCATCATATTCATATGACGCAAGGCCAAATTTTGAAGAAAAATTGATTGGAGACTATGAATCCTCTTATAGTCTGTCATAAAGAATGAGAGAAAGAAAAAAAAGTCAAGTACCCCCTGCAGAAGACTCAAGAGAGTGGGTGGGAATGGCGAGGCACAGACTTGTCTTCCCAGTCTGTTGTTTAACCACTGCTTACTTCCCATACAAAGCCCCACAGAGCCCAGGGAACCCCTGAGCCCCTGGATTAAGGATTCCTAAGTTTCTGGTGTTATTATCTTCTCATACTCCTGTCTTATACCAGATGATCTCTGCAGTACTCTAAAGAAATAGCAGGGGCTACATTAATTTCTTCAAGGTATATGCAATTCATACCTCACTAAGCCAGAAGTACTTTTGCTATGACAAAATGCCACTGTATATTGTACTGCAGCACTAGCCACTATTTGTAGTGTTAGCAAAGCATGGTTGATGACCACAACTTAAAGCAATTATCAGGACATAAAAAAATGTATGTAACATTTGGTTTTATAATTCTAAAAATAATCCTACATCTGAAGGAAACTTACAAGGTTATGAAAGTAATCCATATACTTCCAGGAAGTATGGCTCATTTTTCACATCTAAGACAACATTATTCCTGGGCTTATACCTGGGTTAACAGTCACTGCACAATCAAACTGTCTGCAGGAATCAATGTCAATCTTGAAGACAGAGCAAATGATTAGATCAGCGAGGCTGTGACCCAGAACATAGCTGATGTGCTATTTTTAAAACTTCTCGCTAAAAAATTATCCACATTTGCAGTAATTCGTTAGAGTGACTACCTCAGTAGCTGAAAAATGAACAAACCCGGAATAGTCAGATTCCTTGACATTGATTTGATGTGGAAATCAAATAGTTTGGCTAGCAAGAAAACTGCAGTGTCAATTACTCAAACTATGTTGCAGGTTTTACCCTATTCATCTTCATGGTTTAAAACAAACATCAGTCCCTCATGTGATTGGTAGATCCTATCTTTCTAATGAATAAACAATAAAAAGGGGGCTTTATAAAGGGAAGAAGCACAGATTGTTGGGCTGTGGAGGTGCTGATGGACTGAAGGGGCCAAGAAATCCAAGAAACGACCCTAAAGGGAGTGATAGATAAGGAGCAAAGGTGTTTCATTCATTCCACAATTAAGGTTGGTCCTGTCTATAACACAGCTACGCTGAGTTACCCACACATATCTGCCAGACGGGAAAAATTCACAGAGGAAAAAGTCCACCTCTTTGAATCCACAGACCTCATGCTTAGTTTATTCATTTCATTTCAGAGAAAGCTTTGTGGAGAAACTCACATAGTTTCTGTAAATGGAACACAGAACACACACATTCTCAAATATTTATGCTTGTTACAATCACCTGGAGGGCTTGTTAAAACACGAATTACTGGGCCCTACCCCACAGACTTTCTGATTCATTACATTTGAAGTGGGTGTTGAGAATTTGCTTTTCTAAAAAGTTCCCAGGTAATGATGATGCTACTGGTCTGGGACCCCACTTTCAGAAAAACAATTTTTTAAAATGAATTCTTTCAGTTTATTAGTTTCTGAGCTGAGGGTAGGCCTCCTTTCTTGCCCAATACACTCCACATGTGCTCAATAAATGACAGTAAGTGAATGAGGAAACCAAGGCACAGACAGACTAAATGGCATGCCCAAGTTAGATCCTTCTTTTCTCTTAGCCTGGCCAAAGGTGGGAAGCACTAAAGGATGTGGAAGTGGCCAGTATGATCTGTCTCTGTAAATGTGAAAGGTACCAAATTACAATGAATTAGAATTTTTGTGGGTCTTTTAGAAAACCACTCCAAAGGCTCCATTATAAATGTTCTATTTCCTTTTTCTGACTGCTGTGAAAAAGAAAACTTAGTGGAATTACCTTTACAAATGTATTAATTTATTCTACCCCAAGGATATTATATTCAGTGATTTGGCAAAACTAATCTGAACTAATAACAGGCACATTTGCTGAGACTAAGCAAATTTTCCAGTAGAGAGCTACTTAGCCACTTGGAACAAATGAAGGTTGAAGTATAAAGATTAAAGAATAGCTGTAATGTCCAAAAGAGGTAAGAGTGTTTACAGAGACATCAGCACAAATTGACGAAAATGCAAAGCCTAGGATGTTAACAAAGAAAACTATCACCAAGGAGTGAAAAATTCACCAGGAAATTTTCCATCACTGACAAATGCTCAGGTTCAAGAGACATTCTCCATGTGTGTCTCCAGAGGACTTTAATCACTGTGTGACAACCACACCTTCTCAGAGCCTTTGCTTCTATCCAGTGGAGTCAGGCAAACAGTGACTATGCATTCACTTCTACACTGTCCCCTTAAAAATCCTAAATCTATTCCATAGATGAAAATTGAAATCTCACAGCCTACTGGAACCAATATAAATGAGTAAAATTGGGAGAATATAAGGTAACAGGTAGTAGTGAGACTTGGCTAACCAAAAAATATATGCTCCCTTTTAAGGGGGAGCTGCACCCCAGCTTTAGGATATTGTTGCTCTATGGGATGTGATCCCAGTGTTACCAGATCTTTCAACTTTGCAGGAGGCATCAGAATTTGGATTTCCTGATAAGCACTGTGTGACCCAAATGAAATACGTTTGTAGGTAGAATAGGACCTCTAGCTTTTCATTTGAGACCTTTCCTTAGGCTCTTGGAAGTCCTTCTGTGGTCCTGTTTACCTAGTTCTCTTATAATCTCCTTCTGGATATATATTCTGTCCTCTAGTCCCCCCAGAAGCACTCTTTCTTTTTTCAAAATCTCTCAGAGGCACAGAATTCTTCTTCCTCTAATTCTTGAAGGACCACACAGGTAGATAATGGTTCTATCAGGAATTGTCTTTGACTACTTCATATGCCAAAATACAGTCCATTAGTGATGGGTTTGTTTTCCACGGTGAATGGGGGTGGCCCAGTATCATACAGCCTCGTAAGGGGAGCTGACTTAAGGAGAAGACACTTAGGTTCTATCTGCCCTAGCCAACTTACTTCTCACACCCCCACTTCATCTCAGGCCCCTGGAACGACTTTCAAAAAAATGCATCTGGGCTCTAAGAAAAAAGAATACCCAATTGTTCAGAGCATGAAGACTGCCAATCCCCATTCGGGCTTTGAAAAAAACTGAACTAAGGAATAAAGGGTTTGAAGACAGCTTTGCTTCGTTCTTCCAATTTAGGTACAACTAAAGTGTAGAGGGCAATAATAATACTGCAGGTAATCTGGTCTAATGCTTCTAGTTCCTTTCCTGTCTCATTTTCCTTCCTTTTTTAAGAGGAATTAGTGAGGGGAAAGAAAAAGTTTGAATATTTAGATTTTTTTTAAAGGTTTATCTACTCATTCCCTGAGCCAATATTTATTCAGTATTTTGCATTTGTCAGATATGGAGTTTATAGTCTGTGAAAGATATATACACACAATAAAAAAGTAGGCAAATAAAAATTAAGATAATTATAAATTATAAAAGGTACAATCTGGAAAATAGGATAATGCAAATCACAGAGGAAAAATATCTTAGTACTTATTGCATGTTTATATTCCAAACCTAGGGTGGAAAGGGGTAGGTGATGTCCCTTTTTGAAGGATTTCAGTGCCAGGGGTTATATTCCCTATAAGTCCTGGCTTGGCAATGGAGGGGTTTCTCTGGTGGTCCACTCTATGCCATTAGAAAGGATGTCAAGGTCCTGGTGGTGCTTGAAATCTCTTTGGCCCTGGTGCAGCTTGGTCCTTGAAGCAGCTCTGAGTTCTGGAGGAATGAGTACTTTCAGGTATGGATAGTAGTTACAGGGAAAATATAATTAGCTCACATATGGGTAGACATTCAACAGATGAACAGGAAAACCTACCTAGGTGTTGTAGTTGGGAGCTGAATCAATTTTTCATGTCCAACCCTTTTCAAGAAGAGACTCTGCTGGTAAGTGAGCCAAGTTTAAACCAATCCTGTCCTCCATCCCCACCTCTGCCCCCTTGCTGTGGATCAAGAGAGGGTTGGGCAATGTGCCCACAACTCAAAAGCACAGAACAGAAAAGGCACCTAAACAGCAAGCAGAGAGCTCAGACTCTGGGAGAAAGCTCAGGCTGCAGAGTAGAACAAATGGAGTCTAGGGTTAATAGATCAAAACAGCAGGCATTTTACTATGCATTTTCAGATATAGTCCTACAGCATAATCTGTACTCAAAGGAGAACTTCCAGAAAGTTAACCATCAGGTTGAGAGTATGAACCTGGAAATCACATGTGTATTGTGTATGTCACAAGACTTGGTCCTGAATATCTTCCTGTCCTGAGTATGAGTATGGATTCAAACATTCACAGATAATTGTTGTATTTACAAAGTCCTAAGTTTAAAAATGCCTCCCGAAATCATTACAGGTCAATAGTTTTAAAATCTTTTTCAATCCCATCATTTTTGAGAAATGAGCTAGTTCCCCTAAATTCTGTATTCACTAAGACTTTAACAATTCTCCCATTTGCCAGAATCTTTGGGGCACTGTGATGGTATAATTTGTGGGCACACTCTCCCCACCCTCATGACTGTCTTACCCTCTTCCCACCATCAGTTGACAGTCTCTCTGAGGAGATATAGATCATATCCTTCTTCCCAGTTATAGGAAAGATTATGATAACTAAGCTGACTAAAACTAAGTAAGCAGCACCTCTTTGCTTTAGTAAAACTCATGTTTGTCTGAACCTGTGCTATTTTACACAAGCCTGTAAGTACAGGACACTCATAGACCATTTACAGGAGAGTTCAAATATGATATCACTTCAGTGCCTGGCATACGGCCCAGCATAAAGAAAAGTTTCAATAAGTAGGTATTTAATAAATGTTTGTTACATAAAATCTGATTGAACAGTTTTAAGGTTGCAGGCTAGTCTATGACATGACAGAGCTCTTAAGTGGTTATATTTGCCATACCTAAAGGAAATTTGTCAATGTAAACTTTATGAACATCAAAAAAAGGTGAACATACAAAACAAAATGTTTAAATACATATGATGTCCCCAAATAACAACGACTTTCAGATGAACATCTCATACCTACTATTTATTTTCCTGTAGATAGCAATGCATTACTTATTCATGATTTATGTCTTCTTAGAAACATCCAATTTCTGGCATTGACAAGGCCCCTTCTAGGTGAAGAGATTTTTCAAAAACATCATATGAGCTTCTCTAAAATAGTTTTTCTCAAAAAATAAGATCCACCTGCCAACAGCATTTAGCATCAGGTGGGGCAATTATTTAAAATTTAAATTTCTAATCAACCGCTTTTCCTGAATCTGGTCTTTGAGAGGAGAATCAGGAATCTACATTTTTTAACTCTCCTAGTGATTCTCATGCATACTGAAGTTTTAAAACCACTGCTCTAATGCCTTCAGGGTAGAGTAAGATACCTGCCAAAAGAAATAAAAGCATGCATTGATCTTATGAAGCCCCCTAATAGATACATAAGGATTTTGTGAGCAGTAATGACTCCATTCTTTCTTCTAATAGGGACTTAAAACTTTGAGACATGAGTACCTTAAAGGGTACAAAAATAAAATCCACATGCAACTATAGAATGAGTTGGTTACCACATTTCTCCTCCCCATTTCCCTCCCCCTCCCCGTCCACACCATATACACAAACCTTCTCTCCAAAGATAGAACCTAAACTTCTTTCAGGGACCCTAGTAAAATTGAGTCTTACTCACTTTAATTTGTGGTAGACTAGACTGGACTGGGGTGAGCATCTCATATACCTAAATGTTCTCAGTTCTTAAAAAGTTGAAAGTTGAATTTGACTGGCAGGTCTTTTGGGATCTCATTCATAGTAGCCCAGTAAGAAAATACCAACACCTTAGAGATACTAGAGAAGCTTAGAAATCCATTCAGTACTCCCAGAGCCCTCAAGACCCAGTTTGGAGTGGGGTTGGTCTCCAGGGAAGTGCACACAGTAGCCAAGCCCTAACAGAAGAGCCCAACCGTGGCTTTGCTTTCTCAATATACGGAAACAGCAGCTGCAGAATGCTCATCAATATGGCTGGCTGGAACTTAAAATCAGAGCTAATCATACTCAGCATCTTCACCTAAACATCAGCAAAGCCTAGGCATTCAGGTGGAGAGGATCCAGGTGGGAAGGTCAAAGCCAGAGATGATTGGGTTTAGTGCTGGTCTAGAATGTGAATTGCCTTTTCTTTGCCATCTCCAGTACAATATGATTTTCATGCTTATCTTGAAACTCCTGATTTCCCTTATTCATAGTGTGACATAAAGTCCTCTAGGAAATAGAGGTTGGGGCAGGTGAGCCCTACAAATCTCCAATGGGCTTGAGCTGGTTGCTACTACCCCTTTCACACCACTCTACCTCTTGAAAACAAATAACAAAAAATCTTGCATTTATATTGGGTTATGAGACCAAGCTTAGGTTAACTCAGTAAACTGCAACACTAAAAGATAGGGAATCCTTTTATACTGGTATAATTCTGAAGACTAATGGGAAATGAAGAGAAACTTGCGTTACAGGGGAAGCAATCTTAGTACATCCACACAAAGTTTCCACTGATATTTATCTTTACAGACCACTTAATCAGGCCAGTAATAAGAAAAACAAAGACATAACTCTTTCTCAAATTCCTTTCCCTATTCTGATCCTACATGGAAAACACATTCTCATTTCCAAGTGGTAGAGAATATTTGCTTTCAGGAAAAAAGAGAAAAAAAATTTGCAAATCACATTCTGAATGCCATAAAATTTGTCTTTTAATTTTAGAGTAAAAATAACTTCTGAAGTTATATATCTGTCTATATATATAGATAGATATATAACATATCTATATAATGTGTATATAGATATATAATGTATCTAATGTGTATATAGACATATATATACACATCACACATAGATATATGTGTTTGCACAGATGTCCATTTTTTTCCTCCCAATTTCTACTAGATCCACATAAATTTTATAAGTCCCATTGCCTTATTTCATAGGATCATTATGCTTGAATCTGGAAGAAACCTTAAGTGTTCAATATGTACATTTTACAGATGAGCAAAATGAAGTCTAGAAGCTTCAAAGTGATTTCTTCAAGGCCATATGGCTACAAGTTTACACAAGAATGAAGATGAAAATCCAAATTCCCTGATTCCTGGCCCAGCACTGTTTCCAAAGGACCATAAAGTCTTTTTCCCCCCCTAAGGTCTCTGCTTAAATCCTATATAGCTTGGTTTAAAGAGCATAAAAGTTATGCTTTAAAAGTAATGGCAAAAACAGCAATTACTTTTGCACCAATCTAATACTTTTATTGCTCCATCTTGCTCCATCTGTAACATAGCCTGGTTATAGAAGACATACCAATAATGTGAAAGAATACTGTGTCTGAAGAAAAACTGCCTCACTGCATTTAGAGGTGGCACTGCCCCCAAATCATTTAGTAATGACAGAGTTGATACTGTTTAAAACATGTATCTGCAAGAGGTTTGTAAAAAATCGATGATTTGAGGTCTTGGGATTATTTGATATTTCTTATAGCTCTCAGCAACTTCCATTCAATTCTGTGCAATAGGAGTTTATTGAGCATTACTGCAGAGGCAGCTAGTGCCCTGCCCTAGTCCCTTGGTACTCACCATTTTCTTACAAGAGCGAATCTGTGCCTGAGGGTTTTCTGAGATTCAGAAGTACACTGACTATATGCAAGGCTGGCCAAAGTACCCAAAATTCAATGCCTCTGGGAATAAACCTCAAACAACAATGTAGCTACCATATGACAGATATTCCAGCTTTCTTGCCCCTCAGCTGGGAGAATGCTGAGGCATATTCTGGCAGCCTTCTAGAAATCCCTAGCATGCACAGAGCCCCATTTCTCCACAATGAGAGGTGCTCTTTAATGCACCCTGTATCAGCTTCATTTCTTTTCCATTTCTGTGCTCTCTATAGTACTTTCTGGGATTACCACCCAGATAAACTACTTGCATTCAAATCCTCATTTTACGGTTGGCTTCTGGAGGAATCCAGTCTAAGACAAGCATATGCTTTGTGCACATAACTGTTCAATAGCAAGCCTTGAGGGATATGAAGATGGAAATGATATTACCCCAGCCCTCAAAAGGTTGAGGCCAGGGAGGGATAACTAGACTTCTAAATATGCAACCACATAGGTAAGACAAGAGAAGACAAAATATTTTTGGAGGATAAGGGATGTATGTGATAAAAATATTTTCACAAATAAAGGATTCCCACAGTGAACAGAATTTGCCAATAAGAACTTACCATGAAATTCTCTATAGCATGACATTCTCAAATACGCTAAGCAGTCACATTATGCACATTAAACAACCAACCAAGGTCTTAATTTTCCTTGGAAGCATGTGTCACAGAATTTGTGATTGCTTATACAATGCAAATTTGCATGACCGATCCAAAGGGAAAAATTTCATGCAACTTCTTGTTTTTTAGTGGCAAGAGTGGTCACATAAACCTCCAAACTGGTTGGACCTGATTAATTCCCTATTTTGCATCTTGTGTTTGAAGAGAGTCAAAACTATCTGTTTTTTCTTTTCATTCAGTTATGTCAAAGTATGCTAATTTCTGTGGGAAGCAAACAAACTGAATAAATTCTGTGTATGTCATTAGGTTGAGAAGCCAGCCCTTTGAGCTTTCACTTGAGCTAGGAATCATGCCAAAGTCAATCACATGTTTGCAGGTCACAGACGTTCACCACACAGAATCCTATAAATAACTCTTAACCCAAGATGAGTTGTTGAATAAATGACATAATAGAGCAAGTTGAATAAAACTATGTGATAAGAAACCTGAAGAATACCCGTGAACTGATACAAGGCTAGCTTTTTCATATTTGCTCTAGCTGGATTGTCTTGTAAGCTAATGATTACTGAGAATGTAGCCTGCCAGGTTCTAGGCACCTTAAAAACTCTATTTAACTCTGAAAACAGGCTAGTAAAGCAGGTATTATCATTATTACCTTTTTATAGTTTAGAAAACTGAAAGTCCGAGATGGTCAGTAACCTGCTGAAGGTCACACAGATATTTTGTCAGACCCTCAAATCCAAACTTTCCCTAAAATACCATGCTGTCTTACTCCAGAGCTGAAAATAAAGCATACTATATTTTAGCTTCAAAGTGTTTCATCTTAGGAGATGCCAAAGAAGAGTCTGAGGAAATATCAGCTAAGAGGAACTTATATTTTAACAGTACAGAGTTGCAATTATTAGGTGCTAATGGTTTCAATATGTCTCCTCCAAAGTTCAGGTGTTGAAACTTAATGGCCAAAGTGGTAGTATTGAGAGATGGGATCTTTAAAAGGTGATTAGACTATGAGGGCTCCTCTCTCATAAATAGAATTTAGGTCCTTATGAAAGAGGCTTCATACAGCATTCAGCTGTCTTGGCCTTTTGTCCTGTCATGTGAGGACATGGTGTTTGTCCCCTCCAGAGGATGCAGCCCTTACCAGACAAGCTTGACCGTGGAATTCCCAGTCCCCAGAACCGTGAAAAATACTTTGCTGGCACCTTGTTCTTGGACTTTCCAGCCTCCAGAACCATGAAAAATACTTTTCTGTTTTTTATGATTTACTCAGGCTCATATATTTTCTTATAGCAGCACAAACAGATTGGGAAATTGGGTCTAATAACATGTAGTTCCAGGGAAAATGAGTCTTTACTTTTTTTCTGTGATTATTTTATCTACTATCAAAAGAAAATTAATGAATTTTTAAGTTATCTACATTCTATGCAATGTATACCAAACATTTATCCCCAGAAAATCTGAAGATGTTCTCAAGGAAAAGTTGCAGGGTTTAATATCAAATGATTAAAATGCGTTGGTTGGGTAGGATGTGGAACCCATTAAATTTCACAGAAGGATGGGGACCTACACAGAAATAATGGCATACAACATGAAAAATAAACAAAATGAAATTGTCTACACTGACTTAGTTTTAATTAGGTAATAAGTACCCTGGATCACATAGCTCTCAGATTTAATTCAAATCTCTTTAAAAATTGTTTTAGCCCTCTATCCTTCAAATCGTATCACCTAGTTTTGTTAGAATAAAGTTTTTCCACTCTGTATGTATTCTCTGCCTTACTGGGTTTCCCATAAAGTGAACTTTGAAACAATGATGTGGGTGTAAGCACTTTATTTGTGAAGTGATCCCAGGAAACATGTTGGATGGGATCACTTCCCAAAGGGATGGGATAGGATGGGAAAGGGAGGGAAGCCAATGAGGTCCATTAATGAGTGTGTTATCACTATGGGCAACTGGCATTCTATTTTGCTGGTACCCTCTCAGAGACTATATCAAACTCCTGTGAATTGTCCCACTGAGGAATGAGGAAGCTGGATTATTTATCTACCATCACCCCTCCTTCTTTAGTTGAGGACTGCTCCTGAGCCTGCCAATGCCCCGTCAATTATAGTCTATTTGTTGCCCTAGCATGTTCCTACAGCTGGAGAACAGCCTCAGGCAGAGGACAGAGAATCCTATCTGTTCCAGAACTGTTTGCAAGGCCCCTGGGGATAGATCATGAGAAAATGAGCATCTCCCACACTCTACTGGTGTACCTTCCCACAGTGAGGTTCTTTATTCATTTAGTTCTCAAGCTTTACTGGAATGACCTGAAAACTTATAAAATGCAAATCTCTAGTTTCGTCCCATTCTGATTAAAATCAGTGGTTGGGTTCAGAATTTTAACAAGAACTCCAATCACTCCAAAGCAGGTGGTCTGTGTGCTGCAGTATGAAAAAAGTGTGCTAGTGAAACCAAAGGCTATTAATGAATCTCCATACAGGCTAACTAGTACCTCAGAGATAAAGATCTCTATCTCAGGCATAGATGTACCTTATTTTTCTGTGTCTCAGTCCTCAAATATAAGCTGTTGCTCCTAAAGAAAATATAATGAGTATATGGATGAGTTAACACTTTGCCAGTCCAATTCTGAAAAATCATTTATATGGGGAAACAAATCACTTTTATATCCAACAGATCATGCATCAGGAGAAAAAGTATCAGATACCCTTATGCTAGAGTGACCGCATTTTTCTAACACATGGTCTGCTGAAGGAGTAAATTTATGGGGAAAATAGGACAGAAGAGTTGACATTAGGACAGAGAATAAAGTTATTGTACTTACATATGCTGGTTAGAAATCTTGGGAAAATATTTTCAAGCCCCTGCCACAGGGACTAGCAGATAAACTAAAGCAGCTTTGCAAAGTATCAAAGTTAGGCCAACCATTGAGATTGTGTTTTTAAGTTTCCTGAGTTATAAGAAAGGGTGACATAGTCGTTCAGAATGCAGTCCCTTATATTCAGAAGTTTTTCAATAACTGAGTTCCTTTCACATTTTTATCTGTCTACTATGTATTACGGAAAGTGGGCAGTGAGAGCACTGGGGCCATGACACTTGTTCCCCTGTGAGAAAGATATTCTGCAGTCTGAAGGAATATGGTATCTATTGTATATAGTGAAAATCTCAGCTCATGTCTCCTTTCCATGGCTCCAGGTTCTCAGCACCACTTCTGTGATCTCATATCACCAGGTAAGGTCTAAACTCAAAATATTCAAGAATGCTCTTGTTTCCCAAAGCCCTTACGATAAATACACTGCATAATCTGGCCTGCAAGTTACTGCATGATTTGGCCTCTGCCTACCTTGCCAGTCTCCTCTGTCACTACTCCCTGTCTCATCCTCTAAGCTCCAGCCTTGAAACTCTTTTAGCTCTTCAAATTCTCAGTACCTTTATAGGTCTTGGTCCATGCCACACTATCCTTTCCTTCTGAAGCCCTTCTCCCATGAGCCTATGCCTTCACTTGAATACCACCTCACCGTCTTCAGGTATTGGTCTACATGTAAATTCCTCTGGTTGGCTTTCCTGACCCCTTCAGACAGGTGACTGGAAGCTCCTGTAGGATCTTTGCAGACCCTAGGCTCTCCTAATCTTGAAGGCTCCACCTCTCATCATGTTATGTATGTGAAGATACACCACACTGCCCATTATGAAATCATTCTTGCTATAAACATTCTGAAATAAGTTTTATAGTTATGTTTTTGAAATTTTTGAGTATGAAATTTGTCATTGATTAGGACAGAATCAAGACCTGCAGGTTTGGTTGTGACTCCGTTAATAATCAGTTGTATGATCTTAGACAAGTTACTTAACCTCTATGAACCTGTTACGTTATCTGAAACGAGGGATTTGCATAAGTGATCTAAGGCCCCATGTAGCTCTAAGAGTCTATGCTTTTATCATTAACTGTGGGGAGGGATGTTTTTAGTGGTGGTAGGTTCATGGGGATGGGAGTAGGGCACAGATTGTTTACTGATGTACATGCACCACAAAGACTGAGTATCAGTGGGTATGCTGGCCAGAGCTACATACACAAGTATATGTAGAAAATATAGTACTAAGACTGAAGATAAGGAAAACTATTTTACATAATGAACAATTTATTAATCTAAAATAAAAGAAATTCAGAGTACTCAAGTATTATTTATTTTCCTAAACAAGACTGACAAGTGAAATGTGAGTATAATTATTTATAGTCATACTCCCTAAGGCTTGGCACTGGTGAAAACCACATAGAATGTCTTGTAAAAACAATTGGGTATTAGAAAGAGCAACTCTCATTATTTCTATTGTGCTTTGAGAAATGATATGTCTTTGGATCTTTTGTGAATATAAATAGTTTTCAAATTGCAGAAGACATAACCAGTCTGTAACTTTGTATAAAGAATTCTGTATTTCATACTACACACATCAATAATTTAATGCAGTCTTTAAACATAGTTATTTTATTTCTTCTGATAAAAAGTAATACAAGTTCAACGCAGAAAATGTGTTTTTAATCCCAACACCCAGAAACAGACACTGATTTTGGTGCATACCTTTTCTTTATAGGCATACACTTGATAGGCACATAGTTCCAAAAAGGCATCACATTTTACATCTGTCTTGCCCGGTTGGACTGGAGAGGTTATCTGGCTTGGAGCCTGCAATATCTATTGCCATGACCAACACACCTGGCATATCTGAGAAGTTAGTGAGTCTGATGGTTCACAAAAGCCATTTTTATGAATTAATCTGCATAGAGAAAGTAGAAGAAAAAATGATAGTAGGAAAGACATGGAAGTCTGCCTTAAATATTTGCCCTTAAGACACAGCACCCCACTGATGTTCAGGTGACAGTGAGACATCAAGTTTGGGAGCAGGGCTTCTTCCCGGCTCTGTGTGGAGAAAGTATAATACTAGTGGGTCAATATTAGCATACTTCCTGTGAGTAACGCTAGCAATGGCAGGGTGAGGCAACTTTACATGGTTTCTTTGCTTGAGGAAACAGATACGCGTGACCAAAATTGACAAAGAAAAAGGTGGCTAGTTCTCTGGGTAACAAGGCAAGAGACTGCTTCATGAACACAGATGAAAATCTCAGGCTCAACCTGGCAATTGTGTAGAGCTGTTGGAATCCTCTGTGAACAGGTCTGAGCAATAGATGCTGGTGTTTTAATTCTTACTGATACCATGACTGTCATCTAGATTCATGTACTGGCGAAGCCTGGGGAAACTCAGATTACATACTGCTTTGAAGCCATTCCCTCCCGCATTCACATAACTATCTAATTTGAATATTTCCTCACGAGGCTAAATCTTTAACAATTTTTTTTTTTTTTTGAGACAGAGTCTTGCTCTGTCGCCCAGGCTGGAGTGCAGTGGCCCGATCTCGGCTCACTGCAAGCTCTGCCTCCCGGGTTCACGCCATTCTCCCGCCTCAGCCTCCCAAGTAGCTGGGACTACAGGCACCCGCCACCACGCCCAGCTAATTTTGTTTTTATATTTTTAGTAGAGACGTGGTTTCACCGTGTTAGCCAGGATGGTCTCAATCTCCTGACCTCGTGATCCGCCCGCCTCGGCCTCCCAAAGTGCTGGGATTACAGGCGTGAGCCGCCGCGTCCGGCCAACAATATAATTCTTTAATCAATGCATAGTGGTCCACTATATAAAGGGACAAGAATTTTAAAACCAATACTCTGTAGTTTAGTATCAGGAATTTTATTTTTCATAATTATTAACAATTTTGTGATAAATTATCTTGCAGTAAAATCTGTCATATTCATGATTATTTCTGTAAGATAGATTATTAGGAGTGTTCTTTTGGGGTCTAAAAAGAATACAAAGTCTTGAAAATTTTGCTAAACATTGCCAAGCTACTCTCTCAACAGACTGCCATTTTATATTTCATCCTCTTAAAAGCAGACTTCCTATAAAGTCTGTTTTTATAGGCTCCAAGATAGATTGGAATGGCAGTTGTCTTAAATTATTATAGCACTGCATTAGCTTAGAAATTATGCTTCATGTAATTTTGGAATTAAGATTCAAGAGAAATTCTAATACCTTGGCCAGCCACACATATCAATGATGGTCTAGACTGGTTGATATTATATTCAAAGAGGGATTAATTCAGTGACAGAAAAATGCATCACAAAGCAAAGAATGAATTTACCAGCTACCTGTGCAAAATAATACACTGCATTAGACAAGATGCTATCTTTTATAGTTCTTACAAATATAGTATGTTCACTTCAGAGTCTGCCATTATCTTGGAATGGTTGCCTGGGCTTATGCTCCATGAGGGAAGGCAAGAATGTAAAATTCTATGAAGATTAAAGTATTGGTATATTCATTCAACGTTATGAAGAATGCTTGGTTTAAAGTACTGTAATGCTAATTCTCAGGGAAATTCACAGGGAACACGTGATGTTACCACATGGTATACAGCATAGGAACAAGGTGGTCTGGAAAACAACACAAAGCAGGTGGCAGATTGAGGAAAGCTGGGGTAGAAGCTGGGAGATGCCAGATACTTCAGTATATATGGTTGTCACTAGGACTGTCATCTTTGGAATGACAGGTATTCAGAGTCATAAGGAAATGTTAATGGTCTCCTAGTCCAGTCACTCACGTAGTACTAGAATCTTCTCTTCAGCCTCCTACCACTTGGCAAACTGGTCTCTGCTTGAACTCTTTAGTGACAGGGAATGCTATCAGCACCACTTACTATATAAATTATTTAATGAATAAAAAACCCAGCAAGCACATGCAAATGCCTTTATGAAATAGAATATGTCTAAGTAAAACCTTTTATTATCTGGATGATTTGGGACTTACTTTTCAGTAGGAAGACATTAAACCATGAGGGAACTGTGGTAATCATTTAGGCTATAAAGAATCTCGTTCCCTTCAATATATTTGTGGAATGCAATTCCCTACTCTCTTTGAAGTGGGGCATGGCCACATTTCCATTGCTTTGGCTAACGAAATGTGAGTGGAACTGACCTATATCAATTAAATATGAAGCTATAAAAGCCTGTGTTGTGAATCACCATGTTTGTTTGTTTCCCTTTACCAGAGTGACCGTAAAAGCTTGTTGAGATGCAGATACCAACAGGATGGGTCCCTGAGTGATTGTGATGAGCAAGCTCTCAAACCAACACACATGGGACTGGCAGTGTCAGAAATCAGCCTGTGATATGTTAAGCCACTGAGATTTAGGCATAGTCTGTTATTATGGCAAAACTATCGCATACTAATTATTAAGGTCAGTTTTAGCAGAGACTATTTTAAAATGCCAATTTAGAATATTTAGCCTGGGTCAATATATGTATTTGGTCCAATTTCCTAACATCTGCAACTATGATAGCCTACAATCACAACCTGTGGTCAATACCTTATTTAAAAAACTACATGTAATTGCACTCAGCGTTTTAACTTTTTTTTTTTTTTTTGAGATGGAGTTTCACTCTTGTTGCCCAGGCTGGAGTGCAACGGCGCTCTATCTCGGCTCACCGCAACCTCCGCCTCCCGGGTTCAAGCGATTCTACTGCCTCAGCCTCCCAAGTAGCTGAGATTACAGGCGTGCACCACCATGCCTGGCTAATTTTTTGTATTTTTAGTAGAAACGGGGTTTCTCCATGTTGGTCAGGCTGATCTCAAACTCTTGACCTCAGGTGATCTGCCCACCTCGGCCTCCCAAAGTGCGAGGATTACAGGTGTGAGCCACCACGCCCGGTCAGCATTTTGAACTTTTTAAGGCACAAAGTAAACACATTTTAGAAAATTGTTCAAATCTTAGAAAACTACATGCATCAAATTCAGTTTGGTGATGATCACTGGAGAGGCAAAGAGGAAGACAAGACCCTGTATGGAAGGGTTCATGGGAGCTTCAACTATATCAGTTATGCTTTTATTATTTTATTTTAAATCTGAACTAAATAATGTCAAAATGTTAAGATTTTATATAGCTGGGTTGTAAGTACTTGAGCAATTATTAAATTATGTTTTATTATATAGAATATGCTTGAAATCACTCAAAATACGTTTTTAAAAGAATGTTACTTAACAGTTATAGACGTCAAAGGAGTTTTCTGATTATCAGCTAAACCTCCATCAAACAAAATGAGCCTGTATCCAGAGTTCCAGATAGTTGAGATTTACCTGGATTAAAATGTAAAAATATTCTTTAAGCTCTTAAAGGAGGGCAGATTGTAGAAGTCTCATATTTCAACATTTCTGTATGTCTGAACATATCAGAAAGGACTTCCTTACTCTATCTTTGTTATCCAGTGGAGAAAGTTGACTTCCTGAATGTGACTCTGAGACCAATAATTATGCCTACATATTTGTAGTGGAAGGAATATAAGAGTTGCATTTATGTTACATTTAAATCTCAAGTGTAACATCTATTGGCAATGTAGCCTTAAGTAAATCAATTAGCTCCTCTATACCTTTTCATTTGAAATTTAAAAAGTGAAGATGAATTTCTATTGCATAGGGTCAATATTATCCTATTGATTTTTTCAGTACTCCAGTTTTATACTAAAATACCATACAAATGTCAAATATGGTGTATTTAATGATATAACACCAATTTTGGGGACATAAAAAATCTGAAACCTGAATAATATATCTTAAGATATGTGCAGATTTATCTAGTTCATCAAAATGTTGACAAGAGCAAAGGCACTTTCATTCTGACCTTATCCCTTCTCATTCAAAATGTTTCCATGGTATGTTACAGTTATCATTACCATTTTATAGATTACTAGTGAGGCTGTATATCTTATACTTATGAGATTTGTATTTCCCGCCCCACTCCCAGAGTCAGATTGGGTCTTTATTATCTCTGAAAGGGCAGGATGGGGAGAGAAGGATGAACCATTAAGGAATATAGGAAAAGGGGATAGTAGGGGAATTACAGAAAGACAGGGGGTGGGATATTTCCATGCTCAACTCCCAGTCCTTCCCTTGGAGTCTAACCCCCTGATTTCTGTGAGAGCAGTATTTCCTTCTCTCCTGATTCCTTGTCCTCCAGTGCCAGACCCATTTTCTTAGTCCTACATTCTCTTCTCTTCTTTGTGACAATTTAAGAGTGGACTATATCTCAAAATACTCTACTTGTAGAGCCTCAATTCTGAAGAACAGAGGAACCCTCACTCAATTGGAAGAGCATCTAAAGACAAGGATAAAGGGTGCTGGAAACCATAGCTCATTTTAGAACTTAGCACTGATATTTCAATACCATGAAAAATAGATACTTGAATATTGGTATTGTCCTCATTCTGATATTGCAAACACTAGTCAAATGATGTTTAAGTAAGAAAATGCATGCAGAAGTACTTTATATTTGTCATTGCAATTTAAAATACTCTCAAAAATTTTTATTACTTTGTTTGAAGCCTTATTCAGTAACCACCTTAATATATATTATAAAAATATTCAAGCCCAGCAATGTCACATTTCTAGGGATTAAACTATGCAGAGTCCCTCTCTTACTATCAAGGTTGTATGTGTATGTGTGTATGTGTGTGTGTGTTTCATTGGTTTTCTTTTCAAATTTGTTGTTTTATATTGGGTAGAAGCTGTTGTTTTTCATTATTTTCATGTTAACATTTATAACCACCTACCTCTTGGCAAGCACATTCAGGTACAGCCACGTTTTTTTTCCCCCCTTGAAGTTCCCATAAGGAAGTCATTTTTATTTCCATTTCACAGATGAAGCAATTGGGGTCCAAAGAAATTCCCCAAGTTTATACTAGCAATAAATGGCAGAGCCAGGACTCAAACTCTGTGCTTTTGACATCAAATTGTTTTCTCTTCTCACTCATTCTATATAAGGATAAAATTATGATACTTTAATAAGATCTAGCAGAGTTTTTAAAAAGCCTCTTTTGCTTCTTTAGAGAAAAAGCTTTCAATGTTACTTAAATGTAAAAATGTAAGAGTTGCAATCTAAGTCTCAGGAACAGGGCAGTCAGCACTGCTGAATTTGGGCACCTGCAAGTAAAGGGCCAAAAGCAAGGCCAAGAGAAATTCGTTTTTCAAAACCTGAGACACACAAAATAAGGGAAACATTGAAATGGTATTCAATGTCCAAAAGTGATGATATGGAATTCTTTAAGTTCTGGCCCCAGAGAAAGACACTCGAAATCATCAAGTTCTTGCTGAACTTCATATTATTTATCTGCAGTCTGCAATTTATAACAATCACCTGCTAGGTTCAAGCTGAGAAAATTGAGTTGTCAAAAATAGGCAATAAAAATTGCAAGTATGAGCAACCATCAAAATGATAAAACTGTCAGACCTGTACACATCAAACAACAACTTCATTCATTCTGTCCAATTCCTGGTACTTAATATTGTCTGCTATGGTAACTAAGCTCCACTTAGAGTTGCTATTAGCACAAATATATATAAAAGAGACTTGGCTGAGTTATTAATGGTTTCATAGAGAACACGGTAAAATTTTCTTGAGAGGAATCCACTGATGTCTGGGAATATCTGTCAAACAGGGCATCTCAGTCTTAAGCATTTTGGAAAATATGCCTGGTATTAGCTGTGAGAAGGCATGAGAGACCTCAGGAAGTTTACATTCCTGTTTTTCAGATGTTTCACTCACCAATTAGAATGTGTTTTTCCTCAGAGAAGTCCTTTTTACAAAAAAAGTCTCAAGCATGAGAAGTTTTGCTGAAATGACAGTGAAAAAAAGGAAGGAGGAAGAAAACAGGAAGAGAGAAAGAGTAACAGAAGTGGAACGGGAGAGAAGGAAGAAGGGAAGGCAGAAGGAAGGGAAAAAGGACTAAGAATGAAAATCACAGACTATTTGAATTTTATCTCTTTTTAATTTTTGAGGTATGTTTAAGTACCTTTATTCTAACAAAAAGTAATGTTATGAGTTTAAGGAGAAAAAATGATGAGAAAATAGATGTCCTCATGTTCATTAAAGATTGTCAATTTTCTCCTTTTCCTGCACCATCTGACTTCTCTAGCTTTTGTCTGGCTCAGCATTGTTTCAGCTTGCTCTGGTAGAACCAGAGCAGTAAAGAGCTATGACCTGTCAGCCAGAAATATCATTGTGGACTACCTTGAAATTTTAGCGATTCTGTCTGAAAAGTGATAGAAAAGTTTATATCCTGGCTTTTAAAATCACTATCCTATTTTTAAGGGATCTGGCCAGGACTACAAGCTACAATTCAAGATCAGCTGAGACTGGGAGATGTACAAAAGAGAAATTTTTCTGAATGTCTGTCATTCAAGGATTTGGTTTTCAGAACTGCCTGCCATGTCCATTACATATACTTCTTGATCCATTCTGCTTTCCTCCCACTGTTAATCCTCTCCCTTTCAGCTTTTCCCTGTAGGTGCTCTTGTAATCTACAAACTTTGTTCTCTCTCCAGTGGCATCTTAACTTTTCCTTTTGGTCTATAAGAAATTCAAGGATTACCAGGGGCAATGCTGCTCCTGACTTGTGGTCCCCATAAGACCTTTTATGTTGCCTGCTGTATTGTCAGGCAGCTTCTCTACCACTATTTCAGCCTTCTGGGTGAGTCCCAGGCAGGCTCCTCAGTCATCAGCAACTTTGAATTGTAGAGGCTGGTTGGCATCTGTTCTCCCCACCAACTGCCACAAATAAACAAAACATCCCCAAGTCAAAACTCTGCTCATACAATTAAAATCACCAAGAAAATGCACATCAGCATTCCACTATGAGCAGCTTATATGTCTCATTACCACCCTGGATCTGTCACACACATTTCAAGCATGGCCCAACAGTCCCGGCTCTATGAAGAACTTAGTGAGATCCAAGTTACAGAAGGATAGTTACTATGTAAAGTATCCAAAATGGCAAAAGACATAATGCCTTGGGGAAAAATGTAGTTACTGAATAAGTGTTTGTGGAATGAATGAATGAATGTATTCATGAAACAAAAATGGCATGAAAACATTCCACTGCAAATACCTACAAACAATGGTTATCCCTCTCACCTTCCCTTTCAATTCACAGGTAAACTGAAAGTGTTCTATATAATCCACCTGTTGGTATAGGAAGACTACAAGGAAAGATCAACTTTGACGATACGTTTGAGACTTTACAAGTTTGGTTGCTGAATATAGAAATTAAACCCAAGGGCAACAAACATTTATGCAAAATTCCTCCAAAGTGATACTCTCAACACCTAAGGTCTACATGAACCTTACAGAAGAAGTAAGCTCGGCTAAACTGGAGCTAAACAAAAACCACAAATATAAGGAAACAGTCCACCATGAGCTAAAGAAAGCAGACACAACCAACAGGAGGATCAGAGTGCCAATATTTTCAGATAATAGGACAATCTGAAAATACATAATTGCATTTGATATAATTAAAGACAAACTAAAACCATAAGCACAGAAAATGACACTATAAAAATAATTTTAAAAACACACAGAATTTCTGGAAATTAAAAAGCAGCAACGAGATGGGCTAAGAGATGGAGTGAAAGAATGAGAAGATACACATAGATGTTGCAGAAAAGATATTTGAAGCAGCAATGGTTGAGAGTTTTACAGAATTAGTGACAAACATGACTTAATATTCAGGATACACAATAAGTCCTAGCTAGTATAAATTCACACTTAGACATATTATATTGAAATTTCAGAGCACCAAAAGAGGTGGAGGATTTAACCCCCCAACTCATGACAAAGTTGGAGGGTCAGACATGCCTCATTATACCCTCCTCCCTTTTGGAATTCAGGAAAAGTTGACCAGCGTTTACCATCTACACAGACTTTAAGTGTGATAAGAAACATTTACAGTCTATTCTCTCTGGAGCCTGCTACCTGGAGGCTTCATCTGTATGATAAAATTTTGGTCTCCATAACCTCTTATCAAACCGGACATTCCTTTCTATTGATAATGACTCTTTCAACAAATTGCCAATCAGAAAATTTTTAAATCTACCTATAACCTGAAAGCTCTCCCCTTCAGATTGTTCCACTTTCTGGATCAAACCAATGTATATCTTAAATGTATTTGATTGATGTCTCATATTTCCCTAAAATGTATGAAACCAAGCTTCACCCTGACCACTTTGAGCACATGTTCTGAGGGTCTCCTGCAGGCTGTGTCACAGGGCGTGGTCACTCATATTTAGCTCACAATAAATCTCTTCAGAATTGGAATCTCTTCATCAACAGTACTAGACTCTTGCTGAAAGGATTGCTAAAGGATAAACTTCATGAGCAAATTACAGTAGGAGAGGAATAGTAAGCAAAGAAACTGATGAATACAGGTAAATTCAAAGAAGCCCAACTGAAAAAAAGGTGAAAATTTTAAGGAAAATATAAAAATGAAGGATGACATATAAGAGCTCGAAGTAGCCAAAGAATGGTCATTGATTGTTTAAGAGAATCATGGAGCTATTGATGAACTTCAGTTTGTGTTGTCAAATATGTATATTTAAAATTTTAAAGTAATTTAAAAAAAGAAATATAATTTTTAACCAATAAAGGAAGGAAATAGGGGATTAAACCAAATTAAGTAATCCAAAGTAGATGATGGTAGGGAGCAAGAAAAAAGTAAAAATCCACGTTTATTCATAATTCAATAGTAAAACACTTGAAATATTTTCTTTAAAGTCGGCAACAAGGCAAAGATGTTTTCTACCACTGCCTCTATCCAACGTTACAGGGGAGTTCTTAACCAAAGCAATAAGACAAGGCAAAAAAGTAAAAAACATGACAATTGGAAAAGAAGAAATAAATCTGCTGCCACTTATAGATGATGTAATTGTCTGAAAAAAAACTACAGAATATATGACATACTCATAAAATTAATAATAGAGGTTTTTAAAATTTCTTCAAAGAAATTGATATACAAATATCAAGGTTGCTTCTATAATGCAGCAGAAAACAACTGGCAAATGTAATTATCCCCTAGCAATTCTGCTATGTGTCAAACTAAGAGAGCTCTTGCATATATGCACAAAGAGACAAAAATAAGAATATTTTCTGCAAAAACATTTATGACAGTGAAAAAGCATATTAAGCAAACAAACGCATAAACAAACTGTCCCTCAGTAGGTATATTTGCACAATAGGATAAATTGCAACAATTAAAACGAATGGACTGCCCATCTGGATAAATCTCAGAAACATAATGTTGAATGAAAAGGCAAGTTGCAAAAGAAAGGTTCAGCATAGTGTCATTTATGTAAAATTTTCCTAAAATATTTATGAATATATACATATGTAGGAAAATATAAACCATGCATGGGAAACATGTAGGGAAAAGAAGCCCCAAACTTCATACATATAATGACTTCTGGCTTCAGGACAATAGGATTTTGGCCATATCTGTAACATTTTATTTTCCTTGACAAAAATATTTGAAGCAAATATGACAAAACTTTAAGATTTTGTCTTGATGGTAGGTGCAGGGATGTCAGTTATTTTCTGTGATTAAATTCTTTCATAATTAAAAAAACAGTGAAAAGATATTCATTGGTCAAGTTGACATTTTTTACCAAGTTTTGTGATATCCTTGTTATAGTACCTGGAATAATATAGGTAAACAATAAGTGTTTGGTGAATGAAATACATGAGAATCATGAGAGCCACTTTGAGATTCACCTCCTTCCCACTCAATGTCTTCTGTGTCCTACTTCCCTTCCCTTTTGCCTGCCTATTTCTAAGACAGTTCTAAGAGAATTTCCATGCAAAATAAGAACAACAATACAACAAGAAAAAGAATAAACCATCTTTCCTCTCCCAGATTTTTAGACTTCTATTTATGTTTGTGTCAGGGTAAGCTACAGAAGAACTAATTTATCTCCTTTGTTGCTGCTCCACCGGCCAAGCTCTTCATTCACACATTAGAGAGCTGAAAATCTTCGGAGACTACAGCTTCCAGCAATAAATTAAACATCTCACTTTGAGGGTTGCTTCCTCCTTGATTTTTAAGAAAATATAAAATAAAATTGCTGCAGGGAGGATAAAGATGATGATGGATGACTTATTCCCTAACTTCCCGCAGCCTACTTAAAAAATTATTTTTCATATAACAAAAGAGAAAGCAAACACTGAAAAAGGTACTGTTATTTTACCTTCTAACTTTTTCGCATAAGCAGCAGGAAAAATGATTTTTTCCCTTCACCACAATATTAATAAGAAGAATCGTAACCAGAACCCACAATATGTATAATTATCACTATTGTCTGAATGGAGTTATTTTGGCATCGTATAGCAAGTTAAATGCAAAATATTAAGAATATGTGTTTCTTGTTGAATGATGAGTTCTTTGTTTACCCATTCAGATATTTAGCTTAAATTGAGTCTATATGTAACTTCGCTTATATTAACATCTCTGTTCCAACCTTCTCTCCTATCTTTACCTGGTTCTGCAATATGAACAGATTATCAAATATCACCAGAAAATAAGTTATGAAATATTTGTTCATCTAAAAGTACCAAGCAATGTCTATAAGGTGAAACTCAATGATCAGCCAAACACCCATATATCTGATCAAAAATCAGAATGCTCAAAATTATCTGACTATATAGGCAGGTAAAGTTATTTCAAGTTGGAGAACATAAAAGTTCTTGTCTAAGTGTTTCACAGGATTTGTATAAACAACAGATGTACTGAAAGTACATTTTTGCTAATATGAGTAGTAGTTTAACCCAACTTTGTTTTTATATGGATAATAAAGTAGATCAACACACATTTCTCCCACAGTCAGCCTAAAAGATGCCGTAAGAAAGAATATGCTACAGCTCACCCCTGGGATGTGGAGACTATCCTTCAGTTACCCAGACAGAAGTTCAGGATACTTACTTTTCAGCTCTTTACACTGTCATATTTTAGGTCTGATCTTTAGGCTAAAAAAAAACCGATCCACTAGACGCCCTATTTTCTTGATAAGGCAGATACAATAACATCTCTGGCAAATCAACATCTTATTTTGAGATAACCTAGAAAGCAGTTTTTTTCCGAATTTCCTAAAAAATTCATGTCTTTGTCTCCTCTATAGCAAACATAGAAACAGAGGTAGAGTACAAAAGGAGTTCAGGAAATTTAACCAAAAAGGTGCTGGAAAAACTGCTAGTACAAAGTTGGAGCAACTGAACAAAGTAATTCAGGACAAAAGAAATCATACATTGCACAAGCTCCCAATACTCTACTAAAATGTCCAGAGGAGATAGTAAACTCTAAGATTATTTTTCTTTATTTGGGTTCCAAGGCAAAAGACCATGAACTAATATCATCTGTAAAATGCATGGATTATTGACTTCCTGAAACAGGATATTGATTTTTTAATAAAAAAATTAATTAAAATGCTTCATTCTCTTTCATAGTTAACATTCACATCATTGTCGAAAATAGAAGAAATATAATAAAACACAATATTCATTTTATTATATTTCTTGGATATATTAATTTGGATATATTATATATCCAAAGGTGAAGTTTAAAAAATTCTTACTCTATGACTTCCTATTTAAGAAACACTTTGCATAGTTTATTAATCTTTACCAATATTTGTGCTATCAAAATTGACTTACCAATCATAAAATTAATTTTATAAAATAATCTAAGTTATCAGAATAAAAACTGTTACTTTTATTTCAATTTGTCCATAAAGGTTAAAAAATACACATACCTCAACAAATATAAAACACGGGATGATGGAATAACTTCGTTGAGTGTTGTTTCCTACAGCCATTTCTCACACCATATAGCAAGACTGCACCGTCAAAAACTGTCCAGGCTGAAATAGAAATAGGTTGCATAGTATAAGAACCATATATTGAGAAGTCCCTTAGGTACTTACATAAAAATATCAGCTACTAGATATCAGCTTTCTAGATAAGCAGGCTGTGTGCAAAAGCAATACAGTGATCTACAACACAGTCAAGTCAGACTAATAATCATTCCAATAAAAAGCAAATAATATATACTTGCCATGAATAGTTTTACAGCCAAAATGACCAGGTCAGGAGCCGCTTGTGCACATAGCTAGTGAATAGAATTCTAATTGCCTAGTACTGCATAGTGCCTTACCCCAGTAGACTGCCCTAATGCCATGAAATACAATTTTTGGTATAAAACTTTTTTTTCTTGTCCATCCTGCATGGATCTCTCTTACTTGTTCCTAATCCTCCCAATTTGCAACCTAGAGAATTGTCTGTTTATGCTCTGGTCTCTCCCTTTGAAGCTGACACTTAGTACAGAGCCACCAATCCCTGACTTCCTTCCTTGACCATTATTTGTCCTTGCTCTCTTGAATACACAGCCATGAACAACTTCAGGTTAATATGTCACCGATCTGTTTCACTGGTTCCCCTCAGCCCTGTGTGTGACCCAAACATAAAACAGTAAAGGCATAACACATTTCATTTAACTTATAAGACATTCACTTAGCTTACAAGAATGGAGTAGCTGGGCAATAGCAGATTGTCATTAAATATTTTATTAGAACACATCTTCCCTGCCTTGAACTGAAAATATAATTGTATTAGGAGATTAGTTAGTTTTGATTCTTCTTAATACAATGAAGTAAAGATTTTAAGCTTTAATGAAATTTCCAGTCCAGAGTTTTAAAAATCCAGTACATTTTTTATTCTCTAGCCAAAGCAATACTACACATTTCAGATATCTGCTCTTAAAGTCATTATTTTTCATTTGTTCTGTTTCTCTGTCATCCCTACCAACAGTTCTTGTAGATTTTGATTACAGTATGAAAGGTAACATAGGAAGTACCAGTCTATTTGAATGGCCAGCTGTACTTTTTAAAAGGTCAGACATTAATTTTAATGTCTTCATTTCTATCCTTCCTAAGTTTCTTTCTGCCCTTTTCCAGAATGAAACTTTAAAATACATATCCTTCCCTTTTGAGATATCAACTCCTCACTTGTCAATTAAAAGTTTCTCTGATCAAATTTAATATTATGTGCTTTATAAATCCATACCAACCACAGTATTTAAGTTTTAGGCAACTTAATTTTTTTCAATTAAAATTGGATATTTTCTGTTATAAAATCATACCCATACTACATGTGTTATTTCACCATTATATTTTAGGATGTTATTTTCTACAATAAGAAAGGAATCTATATGTAGAAAACACATTGAATTGATTGGATAACCATCATTTTAAAATGGACAACCATTTTAATTTTGCCCTTACTTAACCCAAATATCTTAGAATTTACTTAGTATTTATGATATAAATGAACTTTCCTGTTAGCATCAGCCAAATACAGTGTTGTATATCTGAAAAGAAAATTAAATATTAATCATGTTCAAGAAGGCAGAGGCACGAGAAAAAGCAAAGGCATCAAACACCTAGTGTTTTAGATGGCTTCTCCATGTAATTAATAAAGAATAACAATAAAGTGGAGAATATAAGACAAGCTTTAGGATACAAAATTCCCCTCTATTTTCATTTTTCTGGTCCAAAATGCAACCAAGCTTTTTATATGTATATGGCTACACACACACACACACACACACACACACACACACAAAGAGACGGGAGTAACTACAGTGAGGTATATTTTATATATACCAATTCACTCATTTTAAGTGTACAATTCAATATTTTAAATAAATTTACCAAATTGTGCAACTTTCCCATAAGATAGTTTTAGAACTTTTTAATCACCCCTAAAAGAATTATCATGTCTATTTACTGTTAATTCCCACCATCAACTCCTTCACCATATCCCAAAGCCAGGTAATCTGCTTTCTGACTCTACAGATTTGCCTTTTCTGGATATTTTAAATGAATAGAATAATATAATACACGACCTCTTATTTCTGCATTTCTTCACGTAGCATATTTTTGAGATTCATTCATGTTGTTGCACATTCAGTAATTTTTTTCCTTTTAACTGCCGAATAATATTCCATTGTATGGCTATTGCACTTTTACCAGTTGGTAGACATTTAGATTGTTTTGAATTTTTGGCTATATCCAGTATTTGGTTGTATTCAATATTATGGAAAACCATGCTAATAACATCTGTGTGCAATTCTTTGTGTGGATTTATATTTTCATTTCTCATGGATATTAGACACCTAAGAGAGTTGCTGGGTCATACGTTAAATTATGTTTAATTTTTTAACAGCACTACTAAAACGTTTTCCAAAGTAGCTATATCATTTTACATTCCCACCAGCAATGTATGAGAGTTCCCATTTCTCCACACTGTCATTGACATTTTTATTGTTTATCTTTTTTATTATAGCTATTCTACTGGGCGTGAAATGATATCTCATTGTGGTTTTAATTTTCATTTTGCTAATAAAAAATTATGTTGAGCATCTTTCCATGTGCTTATTAGCCATTTTTATATATTCTTTTGTGAAGTGTCTATTCAAATACCTTTTGTGGTTGGGTTGTTCGTCTTATTATTTTCAAGGTGTAAAGGTTTTTTGTACAGTCTATATACAAATCTTTATCAGATACATATTTTCAATATTTTCTTCCAGTCTTTTGCTTACGTTTTAATTTTATTTTTTCCATCTTTTTCATTGATTGAGGTGAAATTCACACAATACAAAGTTAACCATCTTAAAGAATACAATTCAGTGACATTGAGTACCTTCACAGTATTATGCAACAACCACCAAGTTCCAAAATATTTTTTCACCCCAAAAGCAAGCCCTGTTCCCATTAGCTGTCTCCCACTTTTCTTTAATTGACAAATAATAGTTATATATATTTATGAGGTATAATGTGGTGCTTTGATTTTTATAATATGAAATGATTAAATCAGCATAATTAACAAATGTATCACCTCAGGTACTTATTTTTACTACCAAAACATTTAAAATCTAATTTTATAGGAATTTTGAAATATATATCATTATAATCACCATTCTGCACAACAGATCATTAAAGCTTATGCCTCCTGTCTATCTGAAACTTTACACCCTTTGATCAACATCTTCCCTTTCTCCATCCATCCCCCTCTTCCAGCCACTGGTAACCATCATTCTACTCACTATTTCTATGATTTCAACTTTTTTAGATTCCACATGTAAGTGAAATCATACGGTATTTGTCTTTCTGTTCCTAGCTTATTTTACTTAGCATGATGTGCTCCAGGTTCATCCATGTTATTTCCCCCTTTTTAAGGCTAAATAGTATTCCATTACAATACTACATATATATGTTCACCAAATAGTATAGTAACACTATACTATATATATACTACCTAGGTGTCAATTATCAATGAATGGATAAACAAAATTTGGTTTATGTATGTATGTGTGTGTATATATATATACACATACACACTATATATATGTGTATATAAGTATGTGTGTATATATATGTGTGTGTATATATATATATACACACATGCACACTATATATATACTACCTAGGTGTCAATTATTAATGAATGAAGAAAATCTGGTGTATTAGGTATGTGTGTGTATATATGTATGTGTGTTGTGTGTGTGTATATATACACACACACACCCCCAAATAGTAATTTGGTGTGTGTATATATGTATGTGTGTGTGTATATACATATATATACATATACATACATACATGTATATACATACACATACACACACACACACACACACACACATACATATACCCAATTTCTTTATCCATTCATTGATAATTGACACCTAGGTAGTTTTAATATCTTGGCTGTTGTGAATAATGCTGCAATGAACATGAGAACGCATAAATATTTTTGGCATACTGATTTCAATTCCTTTGGATACACACTCAGAAGTGGGATTACTGGATAATATGATAAATTATATACTTAGTTTTCTGAGGAGCCTCCATACTGTTTTCCAGAATGGATATATTAATTTACATTCCCATTCAACAGTGCACAAGCATTTTTTTTTCTCCACACCATCGTCAACACTTACTATCTTTCATCTTTTTTATAATAGCCATTCTAACAGGTATGAAGTAATACCTCATTGTGGTTTTAATTTGTATTTCCCTGATCATCAGTGATGAGAATATATATATACATATAATATATATAAATTTATAAATATATATATTAGATATATATTACATATCTAATATATATTAGATATATAATATATCTAATATATATCTGTTGGCCATTTGTATGTCCTCTTTTGAGAAGTGTCTACAAAGATTCTTTGACCATGTTTAGATTGGGTTGTTTTATTGCTATTGAGTTGTTTGAGTTCTTCATATATTTTAAATATTAGCCCCTCATCAGATGTATGTTTGAAAATATTTTCTCCTGATCTGTAGGTTGTCTCTTAACTCTACTGTTTCATTTGCTGTGCAGAGCTTTTTTGTTTGGTGTAATCCCGTTTGTTTATATTTTGCTTGTGCTTGTGCTTTTGGGGTCATATCTAAAATCGTCTTTGTCCAGTCCAATATTGTGAAGCATTTCTCTTGTTTTCTTCTTGTAGTTTTACAGTTTCGGGTCTCATGTTTAAGTACGTAATCCACTTTGAGTTAATTTTTGTTTATGGTGTGGAATAAGAGTCCAATTTTGTTCTTCTGCTTGTGTAGATCCAGTTTTCCCAACACCATTTATTGAAGAGACTATTCTTTCTCCACTAGTGCTTTCTTGGCACCTCTGTTGAAAATCAATTGACCACAAATATATGGGCTTATTTCTGGGCTGTCTATACTGTTCTATTGGTCAAAATGTCTGTTTTTAATGCCAGGACCATGTTGTTTTCGTTCATTATAGCTTATAGATTTTTAAGTTAGGTAGTGTAATGCATTCCGTTTTATTCTTTTTTTTCTCTATTCCTTTGACTGTTTGAGATCTTTTGTGGTTCCATACAAATTTTAGAATTGTTTTTATTTCTGTGAAAAATTACATTGGAATTTTGGTAGGGATTTCATTGAATCTATAGACCTCTTTGGGTAGTATGGACATTTCTTTTAATTTCTTAATTGTATTAATCAGGGTTTTCCAGAGGGACATAATCAATCAGAATTAATGGAATGTATGTGTGTGTGTATGTGTATATATATGTGTGTGTATGTGTATATATGTGTGTGTCTGTGTGTGTGTGTATGTGTGTGTGTGTGTGTGTATATATATATATATATATATATATATATATATATATATATATATATATAAAGGAGAGTTTATTAAGTATTAACTCACACAGTCACATGGTCCCACAATAGGCCATCTGCAGGCTGAGGAGCAACGAGAGCCAGTCTGAGTTCCAAAACTGAAGAACTTGGAGTCTGATGTTTGAAGGCAGGAAGCATCCAGCATGGGAGAAATATATAGGTTGGGAAGCTAGGCCAGTCTAACCTTTTCAAGTTTTTCTGCCTGCTTTATATTCTCTGGCAGCTGATTAGATGGTGCCCATCCAGATTAAGGTGGGTTTGCCTTCCCCAGCCCACTGACTCAAATGTTAATATCCTTTGGCAATGCCTTCACAGACACACTCAGGATTAATACTTTGCATCCTTCCATCCAATCAAGTTGACACTCAGTATTAACCATCACAAGTCTACCCCTTGTCAACTTGAACCCATGCACATCTTCTGAGATTATGCATAATCTTCAAATAAAGACAGTAATAAGGTCATAATTATGTCTAATGTAATACAACTACCCTTCATACAACTGGAAATGTACCAATCCCCAACCCAAATACATAAAGTTAACAATACTTAAATGCTGATATGAAGTCAATAAATCTTATGTCACATGATAAAGGAAATAAAATGAAGATATTTTCTTAGTACAAGTGTATACGTGCACAAACATGTTTTTAACAAAAGAAGGAGGAAATACTTAGGACAATTACAGTCCTCATTCCTGCAGCTGGTCAAGTGGTCATAGCTGGTATTGGTGATTAACTTCTTCTACTACCCATTCTATATTCCCTTTGCCTTCAGCAAGCAACTCAGCAGGTTGTGCTTTTTTTCCTGATGGTGTGACCCAAACCTTCATTCCTGAAGGGTCTGGGCCATTTGTAGTCCTGCCTGGATTAGGCTGTTGTAGTTTCCCATTGACCTTAATCACAAGGCATGGTAATACTAAGCAACGCCCTAATGGATCTCCTAATAGATTCCATGCATACTCTTCCTTACCTAAGTTGTAGAGTAGTAGACTGATTTCATCTTGACAGTCCAGGTCTATTATCCCAGCCAATACTGTCACTCCCTTCTTAGCCCATTGACTTAAAGGTAGGAGAAGCCCAAAGTTTCCAGGTGGCACTCTTAACTTTCAGTTTAATGGAATCATTGTTGTATCTCCTGGTGACAGTGTTCCTCCCTCTGGAACTAAGACCTCTAGGCCAGCAGAACATAATGTCGCAGGAACAGGAAGCAAAAATTTTGCTAGTGGATCACTAGGGGTGATGGTGAGTGGTGCCACTTCCACTTCCATTCCTTGATTCCTGGACTCATGAATCCTGGCTATGGGAGAAACAGTACTGTATATTGGACACTGATTCGGAGCATACATGGCCTTCTGGCGAACTCTGCCCCAGCCCTGCAAAGTATTGTCACCAAGTTGGCATTGTAATTGTGACTTCCAAAGGCCATTCCACCATTCTATCATTCTAGCTGCTTCAGGATGATAGGGTACATGGT
This sequence comes from Homo sapiens, assembly GCF_000001405.40. Classification (NCBI taxonomy): domain Eukaryota; kingdom Metazoa; phylum Chordata; class Mammalia; order Primates; family Hominidae; genus Homo; species Homo sapiens. The sequence goes on along the minus strand of NC_000009.12, from coordinate 101,178,618 downwards.
AAGACCAGTGAATTCCATGAGCATGAGCCCACTGCTGCACTTCTTTAGCCACAAAATGAGTGCCTTGTTCAGAGGCAATGCTGTGTGGAATACCATGATGGTGGATAAGGCATTCCATACGTTCACAGATGATAGTCTTGCCAGAAGCATTGCGTGAAGGATAGGCAAACCCATATCTGGAGTAAGTGTCTACTCCAGTGAGGACAAACCTCTGCTCTTTCCATGATGGAAGAGGTCCAATATAATCAACCTGCCACCCCAAGGAATGATGCCATATCTAGGGCTCAGTGTTGGTCTCTGCTGCTGGCAAATTGGGCACTCAGCAGTGGCAGTAGCCAGGTCAGCCTTGGTGAGTGGAAGTCCATGATGCTGAGCCCACGTGTAACCTCTATCCTTGCCACCATGGCCACTTTGTCCATGGGCCCATTGGGCAATGACATGGGTGGCTGGGGAAAGAGGCTGAGTGGTATCCACAGGTCATAGGTCATTCTATCCACTTGATCATTAAAATCCTCCTCTGCTGAGGTGACCCATTGGTAAGCACTCATATGGGATACAAATAACTTCACAGTGTTTGGCCACTCAGGTCCCTCCACATTAGTGATGTCTTTTATATTTACATTTTACTAGTTAGCCATTTTTACTCAGAGACTTTCCTTGTTAAACTTTAATTTCAAAGATCATTTAATTCAGATACTGATTACCTTACTATTATTATACCAATCCAGATTTTTGAAAGCAATTTATGATGTAAAAAATACAAATCAATGTCAAAATAAAATTAATATTGGGAATTATCAGAAAAGACTAACAACTTAATAGAAATTATATAAATTATACAACCTAATAGAAAAAATGGGTATAGTCAATTTAAAGAAGAAATATGGATGACTAACATGAAAATATTTACAACCTCATTAATAGGTTATAAAAACTAAAATAATATTTTTTGTTTCACATCCATGAAATTGGAAGAAGGTAAAACTCTGATAGCATCAAAGGTTGGCCATATGGAGCAGCAAATGCTCTTCTACACAGCTGAAAGAAGTGCTATTTGGAACAACTATTTTGAAGAATGATTCAGTAAAACCTAGTATGGTGGAAGATTCTCATTCCTTTCACCACAACAAACAAAAACAACAAACACCCTTAGTAAAACTCTTACCATACAAAACATACATCAGTTTTGTTTCTATACACTAACAATGAACTGTCTGAAAAAGAAATTATGAAAATGAGTCAATTCACAATAGCATTGAAAAAGAATACAATACTTAGGAATAAATTTAAAGAGGTAAAATATCTGCACTGAAAACAGTACATGTTGATGAAAGACATTGAAGAAGACACCAAAAAAGAAAAGGCATCCCATGTTCATGGATTGGAATAATTAGTATTGGTAAAATGTCCAGACTATACAAAGTGATCTACAGATTTAATGTGATTCCTATCAAAATTCAAGTGGCATTTTTCACAGAAATAGAAAAAAAATCCTAAAATTCCCATGGAAAAAGGACCCAAATCGCCAAAGCAATCTTGAGCAAAAGAACAAAGCTGGAGGCATCATACTTTCTGATTTCAAAATATATTACAAAGTTACAGTAATTAAAACTTACTTTCTTTGCTGAGACTATTTTTTCATTTGTTTCAAAGATATTTGTAATTTTCCACTGAAGCATTTGCATGATGGCTGTTCTATGATCCTTTTCAGGATTTTAACATCTATGTTATCCTGTCATTGGTGTCTTTTGATTGTGTTTTCATAATTAGTTTGAGATCTTTTTGATTCTTGGTATGAAAAGTGATTATTAAAACCTTAGGATATTATAAGGCTCAAAATTTTCTTTTGATCTTGTGCTGTACTGTAACTCCCCTGACGCTGCTCAAGTGGGTAGAGGCGGAATGTCACTTTGTAACTGCCATGTGAAGGTGAAGTCTAGGTTCTCCACTTGGCCTCCTATTATACATGGGTAGAGAGGGGCCCCTTGTTATTGCTTAACAGAGGTGGAGTCCAGCACTCCCACTAGGCCTCCACTGATACCACCCTGGTGGAGACAGAGGTACCTCATTACTGCCCCTAGGTGGCCTCCACAGATACTGCAAGAAGGTGGCATTGTTATTTGTCGTAAAATTTCTAACTTCACATTAGGCTTCCTCTGATACCATCCCAGTGAGGAACGCGTAGGAGTGCCTCATTACTGCCTGTTGGAGTAGGAATCCTGGCTCCCCACATATTCTCTCTTAACACCATGGAAGGGAAGATACTCATTGCTCATCAAGAAATAAAGTCCTGGCTCCCCACTTGGCCTCTGTCCTGAACCCAGCAAGAGTTTTGGGACCCTCCTTACCTCCTGGCCAGGGTGGATATCTAAGCACTTAATTCAATCTTTCTAGTAGGTGGAGGTGGGGCCTCAGTTTTTTCTGTGGTGTTTGACTAGGGTCAAGAGGTTATTATCTAAAAGTTGTCTGGCTTGTCCGGCTACCCTTTTCCAGGCCCTTTGGCTAGAACAAGCAGGCTTTCCTTGGGTCATTATTTGTCCGCTCCTATTGGCATTTGTGGTTGCCAGCTTCTCCAATATCAGGTCTGAGACACCTGAGGCAAAAGAAAATCCTGAGAAGTCACTACTATGTTGTTCCTTGTGTTGTGAAGTCCTTAGCCAGTCTGGCTTTTCTCTCTCTTGAGTCTTCTTTTCTTTTATATAAAGCATCCAAGCTTTCTAGTTGTACTTAGTGAAAGGAATAGGGAAAAGTATGTCTTACTTCATCTTCTCAAAGCAAAAGTCATCACAACTCTTTTTGAAGAAGTACCACATATGGCAGCCACCAAGATTCTCATTTAGCCCAGCCTTGCTGTGTTCTCATGAATTTGAGTTTCTTGGTGACAAAGGTTTCAAAATACCATAACAAGCCATATAATTTATTCATTCACTTATTCTTAAATTATGCCAGGTATCCCATTAGGCATGACTAGAAGCAATAAGCTAGTCAAATACCCTGTATTCTATGGGCTAACAGATATCAAGAAGAGACTGAAAAATATATAAACAAATATAACAATGTATCATAGGCACTTATATGCAAAAGAAATAATGGTGGCGCCAAAGAATGATCAATTCTAACCCTTGTGGTCAGAGATGTGTTATCTTTTAGGCACAGTAGACAGTGCCTAGGACCCACTTTTTAGCAGTCTACAAAAATGTTTTATTTTATTTTAAAATCAGAAGAAAAGTTAACTTTTAGGTAGACAAAAATGTTTTCAATATATAATATTAATATATTCAGTTTTATGCCAATTCAATTGTAAAATACAAATTTTAATTTTTTCATGAAGAAAGGTGTCCACAAAACTGCTTAGGGCCCATGAAATAATAATGCAGCCCTAGTTGGAATAAACATAAGTAAAGGTTTGTTAGAGGAGATAGCTTGTCTAAGTTGATTAAAATAGTGTTGGTGTTCCCCTATCAGACATGAGAGAGAGAAGCATTTCAGCTAAAAGGAACAGCAGGAGCAAAGGTTTCCAAAGATAAGAATCAGCCTAACATGTTTTAAAACTCTAAAAACAATGCCAGGTCTAATGTATGAAGTTCTAGGAAGAGCTATAGATGCTACCAAAATTTGTTTATGTACTTGAAGCTCATTATGCACAAACTCTCGTAATTAGAATACTTCAAGGATAAGAATTACAGAATTGGTTATTTCCACATCAGATAGGAACTTAAAGCAAAGAAAAAATCAATATTGACAGTCACTGATGTTTCTTGCTAATTAATTCAAATAAAGCTCTTCATTTCTAGGAGGTAAATATATTATGAATCAGACTTCATTGGAATATGAATTTCAGTAAAAGATTCAATGCTACCTCACGTGCTCCCATGGAATTTTCTACATAATTTCTTTCCTCTTGTTTATGAGAAATATAATCATTCCTAGGTAACTCGGGACAAATAAAAATAATTACCCATTACAAAGTATCTGTGTCTGTGGTACAGAAAATGGATGATGATGGAGCATGGTGATAGCAGGAGGGGAACAAACCTCTTTCATTTCTAAGCTGTGCAAAGTCAGAGCCACATGATCAGTCAGAGAATGTGCAGAGAATAAAAATGCCCTTCAAAAGGGTCTCCATGACCTACTGGGCCTTTCTGCCCAGCCTTGATGTCAGTTAAATTGCTAGTGGTCAAGTCACAGACCATGGTCATTTGTAATAGCCCAGCACTTTTGATTTTAAGGAAGCTACAAATTGCTCTTTGTATAGAGGATAAGTTGAATTAATCTTTTTAAAACGTCATGATGATTCCGTTCAAAATTAGAATGACTTAATAGAGTTCACTAAAATAAAAATCTAAAAAGCTAGGCAACAACAAGCCCACCAAAAATTGTACCCTTCGAAGTAAGCCCAAGAATTCTGCACTTTGAGCCTACATTGATTTTTGAGCAGTGTTTTTTCCTTTCTTTTCTTTTTCTGACAGGATCTCACTCTGTTGCCCAGGCTAGAATGCAGTGGTGCCATCACAGCTCACTTGCACCATTGACCTCCCTGGTACAACCAATCCTCCCACCTCAGCCTCTTGAGTAGCTGGAACTACAGCACATGCCACCATGTCCAGCTAATTTTTAAAGTTTTTGTGGAAACAGGGTCTCACTATGTTGCCTAGGCTGGAACATTTTTTCTCAACTCTGTCACTGTTGATCTTGCAGGCAAGATCTTTGTTGTGAGGGGCTCTACTGAACATTGCTGGATGTTTAGTAATATTGCCGGCTTCTATCCTCAAAATGCCAATAGTAGCAATTCTCCCTTTGCCACCCAAGGGTGAAAACTAAAAATTTCTACAGACTTTGCCATATGTCCTCTTCAAGGGGAGAGAGAAAAAAGGCATGGAGACTTCCCCTGATGGAGAACTACTAATTTAGGAGAATTAAGAGCAGAGTCCCTAGGATGAGAATTTTTGAGCTGGTGAAGAAACTTCTTTAGCTGGGTTAAAAGTCACAGTTTTAGCCAAGGGGACAACCATATTCCTGCCTAATACCTAACAGAGGGAAATCTGAAAATTACCTCAGGGCCTTGTTGTACTGGGGGAAACAAAGGGCTTCCCAAGCCCAGAGTCTACGGGTGATACTAAAACACTCTGAACTCCAGAAGAAAGCAGGGCTGTTTTATCCGTTAGGTACTATAGGGCCAATTGCTAGAGCCTGTGAGCTATTTAAGAGCCCATGAAAATACATAAGAAATTGTTTAAAGGCATCAAAAATATGCAAAACCAAATGAAAAATATGTAAAAATACGCCTGAAAAAGTAAAACTCTAGCAGCTTCATTAACTATTAAACTTAGTCTTCACAACAATTTCATTAATATAAAAATGATTTGTAAGTAGGCTACTGTAAATATAAAAATAATCCTTTGCAGAGAAACTATAAATAACTGTATATTAAATTAGTGACTCAGGAAAAGGATTTTAAAAGAATAGTTAAAATCTTTTCATTTCACTTTGCCATGAAATAAAAGTTTACTCTTAGATGTAGATTATTCTTTATGGGTTTGTTATCCTAGGGATTGGGGCCTCAAAAAGTGAGCACTGAAGACAATCTTAACAACCTTAAAATAGCTCTGGAGGGATTTTGCTTCCAGCCAAGATAAAGTAAGTAGGATTTCATGCCTGAAACAACTGAGAAATACAGACAAAAATAAATGAGACAATGGTATTCAAGACATTGGACATGAGGCAATAAAGTGCAATGATCCTTGAAAGATGGGAACAAGCAGAGGTGAGCCCCATGATTGCCCTAGCTTATAGTCTGGAGAGTATCTAGGCAATGATACAACAAGGGGAATCCAGGCAAGTGGCCAGCGATCACCCTGAGTTGGGTAGATAGAGCTGGGAATGTGGGGAGGCCATGGCATCTCAAGTTCACAAGGCAGAGTTCCAGAGAGGAAAGTGCTGCAGAGAGAGAGCACTTGGGGGTTTGCAGAGGGACCTTGAGTCTTCAGCAGAGTACTGATGAGCACATGCATGGGTGGAAACTACCCAAGGCCCAGAGAGAAACCGTCTAAGAGAATTAGAGTAAGTAATCATAGGGGTTTACACAGGGCCAAGAATACTTTCTCTTCCCACCAACCAAGGTAGAAAACCTCCTAACTAACTCACCAGATATCAGGTGTACTTAGGTTTTGACTGAATAATAATTGAGCATGAAAACATTTCTCATCCAGGGACCATAAAGTGACACTGAAAAGTACTCCTTGCAGCATATTTTGTTTTTTTTTTTCCCCTTTAGTGTGTCTGTTACCAAATACTGAATATTCATTGAGATATCTTTTATTTTGCAAAAGACATCTTAACATGTTATAGCCAGTCTGCACTACTGAGTGGTACGCTTTTTCCCTGGTGTTGGGGCCTCCTGGAAGCAAATATGTGTGACAGCACGACCCATGGCCCAGGTCAAGTTGAAGGCATCTCTAATATGAGTTCCACAACATTTAACATGGTGAAACTCCCTAGAAGTTCCTCAAAATTAGGTTGGTTCACAATAAAATGAGATTATGGCTAGAATTAAGGGAGAGTGGTATATTTCTATATGATGCCAAATCTTAATTGGAGGTAAGGCAGTTGGAGTAGAAAAGGAAAAATTAAAAGATAAGAATGAGACGTGAGAGTTACATTTCATCATATTCCCCAACACTCAGAGCAAGCCATGATCCCAAAAGGGAGCTCATCTTTGACACAGGTTAAATAGGCATTCGTTTCCTCAGTGATACTGAGCTACCCCTCCCTATTCTGAATCATTTCTGTTCAGTACATGATCCTCAACTAAGATCAAATTTAATTTTTAAATTAATTTGCATTTAATTTCTCAAAGCTAGAAAAATCTATTTTTTAAAGAACAAAGACATTAAGGGATAGGAACACATCCAGTGAGATTGCAGGTGAGTGCAAAATAGATTTCACCAATAGATGATGTGGGATTTAGGAATACACTCTTTGAGCTTTCAAGAGAAATACTTTGTTCACTTTTAGAGAGTTGCAAAGCTTATAAAGGACAATGTGAAGACCCAGACACAACAAGAGGGTGGCATTGGCACTGCCCTTCTCTACAGTCTCTTCGCTCCAGTTTCTTTCTGCTAGATCCACAATGCAGCCCTTGAGCTATCCCCGACTAAAGCAGTGAGATACAAAGAATGGAAGACCTACAATCCAGGGAAATCTGAAATTTAGTCAAATCTTTGCAAACTACCCAGACTCAGGAACACTGTGAGGATACCTGGGCCCCCACATTTTTCTTAAGTGACTTTTTAGACCCAGGGGTAATTCCAGGTTTCCTCAGGGCTCCCACAGTACATTGTCCTTGTTCATAAGACTAGTCTTTCAGCTTTGTTCCTATGGCTTAAATCTGGTGCATCACAAATACCTCATTCTCCCTCTAATCCTGAATCCCTGCCTGGACCTCAAGTAAGTGACCAGGACTCAGCTGCCCTATTTACCTTTATGAATCCTTTGAACTTATATGTCTGGTTCACAATTAAGTTCTGTGCCTGAATGGAAAGTCTGCAAGACAGTCATTGCTGTCTTGGGGTTGGGGACCCCTGGCCTAGAACACTCTTACCCCTCTATATTTGCCTAGGAAAATGTCTGCCTGTTTTTCAGATCTGCAATTAAATGCCATTTTCTTTTCTTTTTTTTAAGAGACAGGATCTTGTTCTGTCACCCAGGCTGGAGTGCAGTGATGCAATCATAGCTTACCATACTCTTGACCTTCCTGGTTCAAGTCATCCTCCTACCTCAGCCTCCCCAGTAGCTGGGATTACAGGCACATGCCACCATGCCTAGCTATCCTTTTTAAAATGTTTTTGTAAAGATAGAGTCTCACTACATTGCCCAGGCTGATCTTAAACCCCTGGACTCAAGTGATCCTCCCACTTTGGCCTCCCAAAGTGCTGAGATTACAGGCATGGGCCACTGTGTCTGGCCTAAATGCCATTTTCAGTGGGAAAGTTTTGCCACCTTCTCAGACTACTTCAAGTCTATTACACACTTTCATCATACTTCTTACTAGTATGTGATATGGTTTAGCTGTGTCCCCACTCAGATCTCATCTTGAATTATAGCTCCCACAATCTCACGTGTCATGGGAGGGACCCAGTGGGAGGTAATTGAATCATTGGGGGTTCTTTCTCATGAGATCTGATGGTTTTATAAAGAGGAGTTCCCCTGAACAAGTTCTCTCTTGCCTGCTGCCATGTAAGATGTGTCTTGCTTCCTCTTTAATTTCTGCCATGATTGTGAGGCCTCCCCAGCCATGTGGAACTGTGACTCCATTAAACCTCTTTCCTTTACAAATTACCCATCTTGGTTATATCTTTATTAGCAGTGTGAGAACAGATTAATATAGTATGTATTGTGTAATTGTTTCATATCTTTATTTTTCTGGACTGTCAACTTTGCTCCATGAGCCAGGACCATGTTTGTCTTGGTCAGCACAGTAACCTTAGCACTTCATACAGTGCTTGGCACATAGTAGGTACACAGTAATTGTTAATATAAACAACGTCCCTCAGCTACTCAGCTCCATCATTTGATTCTACATTGGCCCTAGATCAGTTTTTTTAAGCTCCTGATTGACTCTTAGGTCTTGGGTCAATCCTCAGCAGGTCTTGAAAGAACTCAACAATATAGTCTTAATCTAAGTCTCAGGTCAATCATCTCTGCCTACTGCAACTAGATAGAACTCACTCTACCTTGGACCCAAAGAATAGTGAAAAATAAAGTATTTGGAAGTCCTAGACATAAAAATGTAAACCAGAACACATTTTCAAATATAAAATTGAAAAGAGAGATGATTCTATTGAATTCTACCTCTGGGACTTCATTATTATGAAAAAAATCACTTTAGATTATTTTTTAAAAAGATATATACCTTGATAACATTTGATAACATGTAACAAAAAGCAATTTTTTTTTAAAAGTCTGAGTTCATCTAAAAAAGTAAGCCATCTCTGTTAGAGACTAGTCTTTTTAAGACAACAATAAGAACAAGAATGATGCCAACCACAAAACTCAGCAGGTGACCTGAAGCAGTTGAGAAGAAAGCAGAAAGCATGATAATGTCAAAATAAACTAATGGGAAGGGAGTATCCTGAATTATCTTACGGTCCACCACGAGGAGAACTGCTAAGTAGGAAAACACCATCCCCAGACTAGAAGGGCATTGCCCTAATTCCTTTTTAAAATTGTTCTTATTGTTTACCTCTATTTTTCCACTAGAAAAAAAAATGGCCACAAAAAGTAGAAGGGCACAAAGAGATTTGCTTAATTAGAAAGTAGTGAGTTAATGTTTCCTTCAATAAAATCAAAGGCTGAAAGAAAATGAGTTTTGGATGCTCAGTTAAACTGAGACCTTAAAGCAGTGGAGAAAGAACTGAAGCACACAGACACACAGACACACACACCCCAAAAGGGATGAGACATTGGGAAAGTCCCCAGCAAAAGTACTTGGTTTAAAGTCTGGAGAGAAAATAGGCCAAGAATATGTTGTCATTGCTCTCAACTTAAAAGTAATGAATATGATTCTTAAGCATACTTACGTATTTGTATTCTCTTCTTGCTTTGGTTATAAAATTTCAAATATAAAAAAGTAACTGAAGTTATCAACAACAAAATTAATAATGAAACCCCTATTACATTGCCATTATGATTCAGGTTGTAGGACTGACTACATAAAAGGTCAAGGATTGTTTTGTTGTGGTCTCTTACACTCTTTCAATAAAAAATATACATAAGGCTTAAGATGAACTTGCATTATGTTGAAGTCTATTGTAAAATGGGCCATATTTTAGAAAGCCTTTAGTGTTCCTCATGTCATAATGCCTTTAACTAAATTATTTTGAAGACGAGCATTGAGAAAAAGGTTCCACTTTATCCATTCACCCACCCATCCAATAATGTGTTAAGTACCTTCTGGGTTCAAGGCCTTATCTTAGGCTTTGAGTCATGCAAATGTGAGTCAAGCAGTCATTGACAGCAGGTAGCTTACAACCTAGAAAGAGAGTATATGCAGATGGAAATGCAGAATCTATTTTAAAAAATAACATAGAGAATGAGAATTCATAGGAAGTAGAATTTTTCCATGGATGATAGTTGAGCTAGGTCTGTGAGGACAGGTTAGTTATGAAGAGGCCCAGGAGGAAGGAGAAGGATTTCTAGTCATAAGGAATGGAATGAGCAAAGTATGGAACAGAACATCCCATATCATATCTATGGTATGAAATTAGGGTTAGGCAAGTTTGGCCAGCACATAAAAGACACCAAGGAAAGTAGCACTGCAGATAGTGACTGGGTTGTTGAATGCAAGTTAAGGATGTTAGAGTCCCTTTATTAACTATGGCTAAGAGAATGCAAGAGGGATGGCAGAGGGAGACTTATTAGGTGCCACTATCCTTTAGGACAGAATTAGAATTGATATGGTTTGGCTGTGTCCCCACCCAAATCTCATCCTGAATTGTAGCTTCCATAATTCCCATGTGTTGTAGGAGGGATCTGGTGGGACGTAATTGAATCATAGGGGCAGGTCTTTCCCATGCTATTCTTATGATAGTGAATAAGTCTCAGGAGATCTTATGGTTTTACAAAGGGGAATTTCCCTACACAAGCTCTCTTACCTGCCACTGTGTAAGACTTTGCTCCTCCTTTGCCTTTGATTTTGAGACCTCTCCAGCCATGTGGAACTGTGAGTCAATTAAACCTCTTTCCTTTATAAATTACTCAGTCTCAGATATGTCTTTATCAGCAGTGTGAGAACAGACTAATACAAGAATGATGCAAGAGCTGGCTTCAATCTAGATTTTGTATTTTTGAGATGAGCAGGGAGGAGAGGTAGATAGAAGCTCTTGTTTGAATCTGGGATTCTCTGAAGTGGCTTAAAAGGGACATTTGTTATGTTATTAAAGTCAGAGGGACCAAAGTGCCCTTTCAGAACTCCTGTCCTGTCACTGATTCCTCTCCATTGCCCTTTGATGTCTGCACTAGTTCTCATCTCCAGGGCCACAGTGGTTTCTAATGACTCAAGAGATGAGGATCATTAATTAAGCAGGGAGGAAAGAAGCCAAGGATCAATTCCAGAGTAACAAATTGCAGGAGAAGAAAGGAAATGCCCTGAGAGACTAGAATTCTGAAAAAGCTGTACAGGAAAGTATTTTTGGAGGTGGTGGTTCCAGTATATTAGACAGCCCTTTATGGTCTTGCCTGCAGGGATGTATGTCACAAGCTGTTCTGAGCAGTGGGGAGGCTGTGATACTGTTGTTCTGCCAAGCAAGGCTGCATTTTCCAATTTAAAGCTAAGCTGCCCAGGAGCCAAGCTGTTTGTTTTTCAGAAGGGGAGACAGGAAGAGAAAGTGTGTGTGTGTGTGTGTGTATGTGTGTGTGTGTGAGAGAGAGAGAGAAAGACACACACACACACACACACACACACACACACACACACACACCGAGAGACATAAAGACAGAGACAGCAATCCAGGAGTTGAAATACCAAATCTATCTGCATGTCTACTCTCTGGAACAGTGTTTTTTTTTTTTTTTTCAATAGATCTTCTGGCACCCTCAGAAATCACTGCCAGGAAGTCCCTATGCCCTAGCGACAGGGTAACTAATTAGCTCTGTTAGACCTTGTTGGAATCTCACAGGAGACAGGAAAAAGAAGTGAGAGAAATTCTCTTTTACCACAGGAGATTTCATAGCAGAACTGAGACAATGCTGGGGTTGGCCATGGTTTGCCTGCACTGCTACGCAGTCAGGGGAGCACTGTGTGCATAGTGGGGCTAAACCAACTTTAGAATTTTAAATGAGTATGATCTGAAATTTTTGCTCATTAATCTCCTTGACAAACATTTATTAATGACTTACTAGTCCACACCAGGCTTTACTGAGGCCATTGCTTTATATTTTAAGATTTACATTTAACACTATAATATTTCTGGAGTTAATTTTTGTATGATATAGAGACATACTGACCATTCTTTTTAATACTGCAAACTGCTTTCCTTATCTAAAATTCCTGATACTTACTCTGTATCTTCTCTTTCATCGATGTCACTTATCATTGGACAAATTGTCTTTCTTTAATGTCTGAATTACTAATTGTCTTTCTTTAATGTCTGAATGTATTACTAAGTTTCACAACTTCTTGCCTATTTTGTTCAACAGTTGTACACTAAGTGTCTTTTGGAAAGATGATATTAAACAAGTCATTACAAGTGGGATAAAAACGATGTCTCCCCAGAGCCTATAATGCGGTATTTAACATAGGCTAGGGGGCCAGGAAACTGTCCCATGAAAAACTGATCTTTGGATGTATAGGAATTAAGTGAGGGTGAGAAATATATTCCTGTCAAAGGGAATCCTATATAGGAAGTTCCTGAAGTGAAAAAAAACCACGGCCATATGGTTGAAACATAAAGGGCCCAGGCAATGTGGACGTGCAGTGATGCTGGAGAAGAGGCAGGGCCTGGGATGCAGGAACAAGTAGGTCTTGCTATAAAGTTTGGAATTAATTCTAAGAATAGTAAATTATAGAAAGGTTTTAAGGAAGAAAACTTCCATGATCTGATTTGCTTTTATTAAAGATTGTTCATTTGGCAGAGAGTGAGAGAAGAATGAATATGGTAAAGTGGCCGAAGACTCCTATGATCATCTAGACAAAAGGAGATGGTGGCTTAAGAATTTGGCATTTCAGACAGGCAGGAGAGTGAATTCAAAATTATTAAAATAGCAAATAGATAAGATTTAATAATTGATTAAAGTGAGAGTCATGGGGATGTCAAAATGCTTTTCCTTATTTATTTAAATCCCTCACACTAAAACAGTCATCTTTTCTGTTTTGTCTCCAGTGGTGATGAACAGATGACAAAGAACTTTCTGCTTACTCTATTGTTAAATCACCTGCAGCCTCCTCTTCTGTCCTTTTCCATGAATCCCAATTTTTCCTCTCAACCTTCATCTGGCCCAGAATCAGGCACAGCATGGAGCAGATTATTATTGAGAATTGCCTTTAAATATCTCTTTTAAAAATACCATGCTGCAAGAAAAATGACAAAAATAATATCCTATTGTAAATTTATTCCCCAAACAAATTGGAGTTCCTACAAGTATTTGCATCCTTTATTTTCTCTTTGCTTTTCCAACTCCTACATATCCTTCAAGGCATAGTTCAGTTTCTACCCCTGCCATGAAGCCTTCTCAGATGACTGTATTCAACTCAGTCAATCATTCATAACAGTCATGCTTTGATCTACCAATAAGCCATGCAACACTTACCATCTCAGCCATTGATTTCGTGCTTAACCACAGGCAACATTATGTCAATGACAGAGTGAGAAAATCACCATCTCTTAAACCCTCTTAAGCCCAGTCTGATTTGCTTTTTGTGCACTCATTTTCTTTCAGTCAGACTCCAAAGTTCTTATTTAACTTCCTATAGACATATGTGTTATCTTTCAATCCTGATTATAATCAACAGGGATCTCTGACTTACATAATGCTTTATGTCTCTCACAGCATCTGGCCTGGTGCTTTAAATGTTACCTAAGTGAACAACACATGGCAGATATTTACGATTGTTCCAAGGAGAACTGTGGAAGGGGTGACTAAAAGTTTGCCTTTAGCTCCAACTCCCTCTCCTCTCACCTCCAACCCCCTCCCCTCTCATATCTGCAAAAGACTCTGATTAATGCATAGTCAATCATAATATTCATGTTGGAAAGAAAATGAATGAATGAAGTCAAACAACCTGGTTCACCTGGTTCTTGTGCTAAAATTACTAAACAAACAAACAAACACCCTGAAAAACAAACACTTTTAGTTTTACTTCTACTTCATCTTTCCCCTTTAATTTTTAGGGAAAAAATTTATAATGCTATCAAAATGTAAGGATCACGGGAATGAAAAAAAACAGCAAAATTTTGGCCAGGTGCAGTGGCTTGCGACTGTAATCCTGGCACTTTGGGAGGCCGAGGCAGGTAGATCACTTGAGGCCAGGAGTTCGAGACCAGTCTAGCCAACATGGCAAAACCCTGTCTCTACTAAAAATACATTAAAAAAATTAGCTGTCCATGGTGGTGTGCACCCGTAATCCCAGCTACTCTAGAGGCTGAAGCACAAGAATCACCCGAACCTGGGAGGCAGAGGTTGCAATGAGCCAAGATCGTGCCTCTGCACTCCAGCCTGAGCGACAGAGCAAGACACTGTCTCAGAAAAAAAAAAAAAGAAAAGAAAAGAAAATAGCAAAATTTAAATAGCATTCATTTATTTAAAACTCATAACAACTCTATGAAATAGATCCAATTATAAACTGCATTTTATAGATGAGAAACATTTACAGAGAGTTTAAGCAGAGTGCCCAGGTTCACACAGCTGATAAGTATTAGAGCTGGAATTTATACCCAAGTGTCTGGCCCCAAGTTTGAACACTTAGTCACCACATCAACTTCTTCTCTGTAAAAATAATTTAAAAAAAAGGAAGTAAAGGGCTTAACCCACATACCTGGTCATTAGCTTTCTGGATGATGGTTAGTTTACTGTCTGATACATTGGTTCATTTTAGCATAAAATAAGCATGCAGGGATGGTGACTCCCTGATACATGTCCTGAGTTTTTCATAATTTCAAACAAATACCCACAAATTCCTACCAAGATACATTCAATGACGATATTTAGGAGACCTGCTCTTCTTTCCTATGTCATTGAAGCTCCACACCTCACAGGGTGGTAAAAATTATTCCAGGGATTTGATATTATTTTGTCACCCAACCTGGAATGGTTAACATAAATTAGCCCCCCCAAAAGATTTACATCTGCTAACTGACCGTGCCACTATCTATAAATAAACTTTGGATGAAGTTAACACCTGTTACAGTGTTCTCATCCATTTGTCCTTTTTTTTGTCTTAGTACTTGCTGGCTTGTGACCTACAGAGTAAAATCTAGATGGGTTCATTAAACAACCTGTGCTTCAGCCGGATGTCACTAGAATGCCACCAGAAGAGCAAGATTTCCTCTCCAAATCAGCACCAACCCCATCACCTGAGCACATGTATGTAACTTTGCACCTAGATGAAAAAGCACCTGTTCAACAGACTTCAGCACTAGTTTTAGTCTGACAGGTGTGGATTTGAAGCCAGATGACAACTGGAATCAAGTAAGCAAGCTAGTCCCTGAAACTTGCTGCATTTCTGTCTACTCCTTTGTATTATGAGGGGTAAATTTTTTGATGTGTGTACTGTTTAGCACATGCCAAGTGTTCCATAAACATTTGTTGAATGAAAGTTCTTACCCTCAGCATTTGTAGTTCTTACCCTCAGCATTTGTAGTTCAGTTCTCTATTTTTGTCGTGGAGTGTTCAGACACCAAATAGGAACAAACTATGATACTATTCTGTTCAATAAGAAGGGACTGCTTTTAGAGAACATTAGCAATACTTATTAAACATTCTCCTTATTCACACAGATAAAAAGATCATTAATTACTTAGCTTAGGTTAATTCCCAGGACACCTAATTTGTTCACATCTATTTTCAGAAAAGCTTAAGATTTAAATATGAATAATTTCGACAATTATTTTTCCTCACAGAGAAACCACAAGGCAGTCAAACAGGCAGTGCTTTGCAGGCTATATGTCAGCCGGTGGGGCTTTATGAGAAGTTCATTCTTGAGATTGGAGGAGAAATGTGGATAATAAGTTAAGGAGAATGATGAACCAATCAGCAAGAAAAACCTAAAAAGCACTTGTAGGTTCTGCCTGAAGGCCTTAATTAACTGCATTCCCCACAGCACAGAACAAACCCATCTGGACAACCAAGAACATAAAAACCCAGCATGTAGAGCTCCGTGATGGGTCAATGCTAACAAAATGGTAGGTCAAACCCTCAAAGCTTTTACAAGACCCAGAAAACAAAAATCAAAAGCAATGGTAAGATTGAAGCTAGAATGTCCCAAACTTAATAACACAAAAACTCGAATTCTCTCTAGTTTAGCCCATCAAGCTAAGAAGCCTCAATGGCTCTAAAAAGGAGGAAGAGATAGCTACAGCAATGTGTACATATGCTGTTGGCACAAAATTCACAAATTCTTCCCTGAGCAAATAAAGCCAGTCACAGAATCATTTGCTTTGCCTTTGGAAGTTGGTCACTTTTGTCACTGCTTTGTGAATGAGCCAAAACTGTTTCTAACCAAAGCATTTATTTAGGGCCTTTGTACTGACACAGCCTGGGAACAATCCAGAAACTTACATCAATTCTGTGTTAGGACAAAGGCAAGACAGAAGATATTCCTGCTGCTTGTGGGGTGGGGACAAAGCACTCTCAGGCTGTGTTTAATCATGCAGACATACCTGGCTGGCTGAAAAGTGAAAATTGCAATCTTTGGAAAGATTGTTTGCTGGATACCCAGTACCATATGATATAACATGAAATAACTCATTATGCTTTTCTTCCAGTCCTTTAAAAATAATATTATCTTTTTTTTTTTTTTAACAATTGTGGATACTGAGGCTCAGAGAGGTTAAGTAACTTGCCTCAGGTGACTACCTGGCTAACAAGTGTCAAAGCTAGAACATAAACTATGGCCACGGCACTCTAAAGTCAGAGGGCTTCCTACTTTACCGTGCTAGCTCCTTATCCTATACAATGCTTACCTAGGATAGCCAGGCTATCAGTATTTTGAGAGAAAAAAATATTGAAATATTTAGTCTAAATGAATGCTATGAATTAAATACTTAAAATAATGAAGTCTGGGGTAAAAACATATCCCATGAATCTAGTCCAAGTACCCAACCTATGCTTAGAGTTTCAGAAAAGAACTTTTACAGTTTGAAAAAGGTAATACTTTTTTTGAGAGACAAATGGTCCTATGGTATGGGAAAATCCCCTTATAAGACACTCTTTTGTCTTTATTTTAATAAAAAGATTATATTTTGAATGCTTCCTGTGAGGTAGGCAGAGTGAAACTCTCCAGGATTGCCTTAATGAACCCCCATAATAATCTTATAAGGCAGGCACTCTTATTAATAACCCCATTTTACAGACAAGGAAACTGAGGCCTAGAGTAGGTCCATAACTTGCCCTAAATCAGACAAGTAAGCCTTAGTGCAAGGGTACAAATCTAGTTTGTTAATGTGGTTTTCAAGTATGTGGAGACACACACTAAAATACAAGGAAGTAAAACCTAATGAGTTCCAAATATTCTCTGGCTTAACATCAGTGAACAGTTGTGCTTATTTGCAAGTTTGTAGAGAGATAGATACCCCATAACCCAATTCTTTCCTCAACTTAATGTGTGTCCATATTCTTCTCGTCATCTTTGGTTTCCTAGAGCCAGAACATCTTAGAGTAACTGAGGCAACATGATAACTACTATATATTGAGCCTATATTTGAACACCTGCAGTGAACAAAATACTCTTACAGCTTGTTCCATTTGTAGTCAGCTCAGAAAATCATACTTATATTCAGCTGACAATGTTGAAATGACTTTTAGGAACCTCCCACTTGTATCTCTTATAGGTCAAGGGCAAAAAACTGTGCTGATGAAATGACATTATCAAAATCAAAGCGGTTTAATGCTATTCATTGAAGCACAAGTGATCTTGAAGGAAACTGAGAGATATTCTTTTTCAAGGACAGCTTTAATAGCTGAAGGGGTATAATGTTTTATATCCAGTCAACCATCCGGCTATAGACAACTTGTCACACTAAAGTGATTTAAGATTTTTCTTTTTTTAATATTTCGATGACATGTTGAATGCATATAAGAGGTTAGAGTGAACAAGGAAGTTAAGGGCTTTCTTTTTTCAAAATCATATTTGCATTTAACTTGAAATTCTTTCCAGTCATACGATTTTTGCATAAATATTTATGGGATCTTGATGGCTAATTAGATTATAAGTCTTTTATCCAGGAATTTGTCTAATTTTATGCTCTCCATCAAACCTGAGCTCTGTGCTGATCTTCAGTCCATGTTAAACAAAATTATTTTAACACCCTTTAAGGCTGCATTTCAAATTCTCTCATTTGTTACTCATACTATGTCACGGAATATATAGTCTTTATTTTTGGATGAAAGTTTGAAGACCCAAATCCCCCAAAAATTGATTTCCCATGTGAAAGCTCTCATTTTGATCAAAGAATAATAAAAGTGCCAAATGCCTCAAAAGCAAAGAAAGCAAAAGGCACAAATGGGCACTTTACATCATCTGCCAGGCAGAGTTACATCAATGTCTTCATGTGGTCTCCACAACAACCCTTAGAAGTGGAGATTACCATCTCATTTTACTGTGAAAGAAAGTAAGGAGGAGAAAGGCTAAGTGACCTGTTCAGTATCATGAAGCAACTAAGGAAAAATTATTCTCCAACCAAGTCCTCAGACACAACCCCACTTTTCTAGTTGGAGGAAGGTCAACTTGCAATTATTCAGATGGGAATAAAACCATTCTCCCATTGTTCTTCTCATTTCTAGAGGCTCAAGCTGTCTCCAGGCATGCACTTTACAAATCCAAATGGGTTTTGAAGAGGCCTTTTCATCTACACTTAGCATTCTCACTCCACTTCTTTATCCCTCAAGATAATGCTATCACTGCCATCAAATTTTTCTTAGTACATTTTGTTCTAGCACCATCATGTCACAAAAAGCAAAATAAATCCTCTTTGTGGAAGAAACTTAAGTTACAGACTTAAGCATCCAGCTCTAAAGGTCTCACTCCCTGGAAAATGACATGCAAAGGTTAAAACTGTCAACACAAAGCTTGGAATACAGTAGTTGTTCATTTCAACCAGGTGGGTACCTATCAGTGCCCTCTTTCTTCATGGAAGCATTGTACACAATATCCCTTTGCGCTCATTTGTGGAAGTGATTTATCATCCTTGTATGCCTGGAATCTTTGTGCTTTTGCACTCCAGTTCTGACTCTCCACCTCTTTCTAACTGGTCTCTCTTTTAGCCCTTCTCTTTTGTTCTACAAACTCTTATTCCTTCATAGAACATTTAGAAATAAAGTAGTGTAAGTGCTGAGTTTAAAAGGTCAAATAAAACCACAAGGCTTATAGCCCAAACGGAAGTCTCTCATTCCACCTTTCAGCTCCATGTCCCCTTGAAACATTTCAATCATTTCTTTGATATTTAGTAAGTAGATTAACACATTTAAGAGTAAATAGTGTTATTCATATCATTATGCAGGAGAAAAATCATTTTTACCCAAATTTCAAAGAAAAAAATTCAGAAGGGAAACATATTTCCAGAGCCTAAACTACCACTCAAATCTTTCAAATCAACTCAAAATAGTATAAATTTGAGGCCAATGCCTATATTTATATCTCTGTAGTAATAGACACCAACTATAGGATGATGACTTTTCCTAAGGATATGAATTCTGTGACTGGGGGCTTGTTTCCCCACTTTAATTTCTAAATACCTAGATTAATTCACTGATTATTTTAAATCAAATAAGAGCTTCTACTTCTATTGAAACTGGAGCCAGGCATCATCAGGATTATATTATCAATTGCATATGTAAGATGGGGGTAGGTTTTTATCCTATAGATTTCTAATTAAACATGTTTGACTCTCAAAATTGAAAGTTTATGAATTTAGCAATAAGCACACACAAAATTATTACATGAAAGGTTAATGGAGAGTCCATTCAATGCCATGCCTCCATTCACTCAGCTGAAGCCAGTCCTCCAAACTTAGGAGAAGCAATTGGTGCTAGCATGTACCCCTGAGCCTTACTGCTTCAGTTGATCTGGCCCAACTCCCAGCTGTGCAGTATCTGCAACTTCTATTTATCTGGAGCTATTTTCCTGAAGCAGAGGATAATTGCTCAGTCACCTGCAATGCAGGCTAGAAGTGCCAGAGAAGTAAAACTCCAGGAAGCAACCCTCAACCAACGTTTGAAGGTATTTGGAGTAAAAATGCCTCAGCTTTCCCACCTTTTGGTTGAGAAAATTCTGAGGCATGCATTTTACACTGTTACAGACTTTCCCACTGAGTTAAGTTCCAGCGACTCATGATGATAGCTGACTTGACAGTTTATCCTTTGTCAGCTGTCTTCCTTCCCTTTCTCACTGTCCCACTCCACTACTGATATTTCCTCGGCTTACCAAAGAAACTATTTGTATCTGCTTTTTTGTCTCATGGCATGTTTCTGGAAAGATCCAAACTGAGATGAAAGCCAGCTTCTTCATTTGAATTCTGGTCCTATCACCTTCCATCTCACTCTCTCCTCCATTGACCTCTTCTTCTTCCTAGGAAACAATCTTTCCTCACTGTGATGAAACCCTCTCTCATCTCTTTCCAGATATCTTCCTAACTCTACCCTCCATTTTCCTTTTCATTCCATCTAAATAGTGCTTTGAGGTTGTAATTTTCCCATCTTTACTAATTGCAATCTGGCTTCTTTACCATTTCTCTATTGAAGCTTTTTTTACTAAATAACAACAAACTTTTAAGTGCCAAACCCAACTAACACTTTTCTGCCCCTAGTTTACTCCATTTCACTGTAGTTTGTAACACTGTAGAAACCATCTTCCTTAAGCTTGTTTTTTTATTTATTTTATTTTTTATTCACTTATTTTATCTTTTGAGACAGAGTTTCCATCTGTCACCCAGGCTGGAGTGCAATGGTGCAATCTTGGCTCACTGCAACCTCCACCTCCCAGGTTCAAGTGATTCTTGTGCCTCAGCCTCCCCAGTAGCTGGGACTACAGGCATATACAACCAGGCCCAGCTAATTTTTAATTTTTTTTTAATAGAGATGGTGTTTTACCATGTTGGCCAAGCTGGTCTCAACTCCCAGCCTCAAGTGATCCACCCACCTTAGCCTCCCAAAGTGCAGAGATTACAGGCATGAGTCACCATGCCCGGCCCCTATAAGTTTCATTTACCTTGACTTCTGTGACACCACTCTCTTGATTTGCCTCTTACATTTCTGATTATTTCTTTGTAGGCTGCCTTGCTGGAGTCTATTCTTCTGCAAACTATTTAAGTACCGATATTCCCCAGGGGTTTCTTCTCAGACTTTTCTTTTCACCATATATGCTTATCCTGGGTAATTTCATTTATCTACATGGTTTTAACCATCACAATATGCTAATAATGCTCAAATCCACATATTCAGGATTGATGACTCTTTTAAATTTAGACACATATAGGCACCACCCAACCGGACATATTTACTGAATGTTTATAGATGTCTACAGTTCATATATCCAAGACTAAACTCATAGATTTTGAGCTCAAATCTCATAGAATCTGCATCTTACTTAGTGAAACCTTGATATGCCTAATCACCCATCCTACCTCTTAAAGATCATGACCAATCAATCACTTGGCAAGTGAATTTTACCTCCTGAATATTTCCCAAATTTGTTCTCTCCTTTCCATCTTCATTAACATAGAAAAATCAGGTGAAGTGGGGACCAAAAAGTGTAAGCTGGCTTAGGTATTTAGAATCTGTCATTTCAAATCTGTGATTGAAATAGGTCATTATAATTCCTCATTAGCTCCTTCACATGGTATAATAACCTATTTATGTTCCTTATCTCCAGGCTTTATTCCACCCATTAATCCTTCCTCAATACTGCTACCAAATGATCCTTCTGTAATAAGTGGGACCATGTCAATGTCAGGCTCACCAGTATATAAAGACAAAGTTTAAGCTTCTTTATATGTCATATAGGGACCTTTATTATCTTAACCTTGCCTAATGCTTGCCATTCAGAATCATTTATATTTCTCTGCAAATACTAGGCAATAGCTGTCTTTAGTTTTTGAACTCAAGCTATTTCCTCCATCTGGAAAGCCTTCCCCTCTCCTCTTCCCATTGACATACCATTCATTCATTAAAACCTCCCTCAGGTATTCCCTTTCTCTGATTCCCAAACCCTATAAGACAGAATTATTATGTCTCATATTTTTTCTATTCTTTGTATATAACTATTTTACCGTATGTAGCATACCAAATTCTATTAGTTTGCTTCTGCAGCTATTTCTTTTTTTTCTTTCTTTCTTTCTTTTTTTTTTTTTTTTTTTTTGGAGACAGGGTTTGACTCCCATCACCCAGGCTGGAGTGCAATGGTGCAAACTTGGCTCACTGCAACTTCTGCCTCCCAGACTCAAGCAATTATCTTGCCTCAGCACCCCCAAATAGTTGGGACCACAGGCAGACACCACCATACCTGGTTGATTTTTGTATTTTCTGTAGAGATGGGGGTTTGCCATGTTGCCCAGGCTGGTCTTGAACTCTTGAGCTCAAGTGATCCATCTGCCTTGGCCTCTCAAATTACTGGGATTACAGGTGTGAGCCACCATGCCTGGCCTTCTGCAGCTATCTCTAACATTAGCTAGAAAACCTCTCCACCCACAACAAACTCGGAACCCATGGTCAAATGAAAGTAGTGGTATACAGTCTACTACTTTGTAGGACTTTATGTATTTGTTAGTTAACCATTATATATGCTGAATTCCCATCTTCCTTTTAGACTATTCATTTCATGAGGACAAGGTCAGTATCTCTTTTGTTCTCTGCTATAACCCCAGTGCTAAGTATTATATCTGCCAGAAGAAGTGTTGGATAAATACTAGCTGACTAATTGGCTGACTCCTTAAAGACAAGGCCTATATTATATTCATATTTGCTCTTGCTTGAATGTGTCCCCAAAATCTATGTATTAGAAATTTAATCCCCCGGCCCAGCCAGTGGCTCATGCCTGTAATCCCAGCACTTTGGGAGGCTGAGGCAGGCAGATCACTTGAGGTCGGGAGTTAGAGACTAGACTGACCAACATGGAGAAACCCCATCTCTACTAAAAATACAAAAATTAGCTAGGTGTGGTGGCGCATGCCTGTAATCCCAGCTACTTGGGAGGCTGAGGCAGGAGAATCACTTGAATCTGGGAGCTGGAGGTTGCAGTGAGCCAAGACTGCACCACTGCACTCCAGCCTGGGCAACAAGAGCAAAACTCCATCTAAAAAAAAAAAAAGAGAGAGAGAGAGAAAAGAAATTTAGTCCCCAATGCAACAATGTTGAGAGGTAGGGCCTTTAAGAGGTGATTAGGTCATGGGGGCTCTGCCCTTGTGAATGGATTAATGCTGTTGTCACGGGTGCGGGTTCCTGGTAAAAGGATGAGTTCACTCTCCTTAATCTCTTGCATATATATGCTTGCTTGCCCTTCCTCATGCGATGACACAGCAAGAAGGCTCTCACCAGATGCAAGCCTCTCAACTTTGGACTTCCCAACCTCTGTAACTGCAAGAAATAAATCTCTGTTCTTTATAAATTACCCACTCTCTGGTATTGTTATAACAGCACACCATAGACTAAAACAATCTCCTTTCTCCAGTTCAGCAGGACTGGCCCAGAGAAGGCATCAATAAATATTTAAATTGAATGTCAGTCACCCTACTCAAATGGCCTGGAAAACAAGCAAATAGACTGTTTCCTGACAGTTAGACAATCTCATTTTCTTTTTTTTTTATTATACTTTAAGTTTTAGTGTACATGTGCACAACATGCAGGTTTGTTACGTATGTATACATGTGCCATGTTGGTGTGCTACACCCATTAACTCATCATTTACATTACGTATATCTCCTAATGCTATCCCTCCCCCCTCCCCCCACCCCATGAGAGGCCCCAGTGTGTGATGTTCCCCTTCCAGTGTCCAAGTGTTCTCTTTGTTCAATTCCCACCTATGAGTGAGAACATGCGGTGTTTGGTTTTTTGTCCTTGCGATAGTTTGCTGAGAATGATGGTTTCCAGCTTCATCCATGTTCCTACAAAGGACATGAACTCATCCTTTTTATGGCTGCATAGTATTCCATGGTGTATATGTGCCACATTTTCTTAATCCAGTCTATCATTGATGGACATTTGGGTTGGTTCCAAGTCTTTGCTATTGTGAACAGTGCTGCAATAAACATACGTGTGCATGTGTCTTTATAGCAGCACGATTCATAATCCTTTGAGTATATACCCAGTAATGGGATGGCTGGGTCAAATGATATTTCTAGTTCTAGATACTTGAGGGGATATCACCACTGATCCCACAGAAATACAGACTACCATCAGAGAATATTATGAATACCTCTAAGCAAATAAACTAGAAAATCTAGATGAAATGGATAAATTCCTCGACACATACACCCTCCCAAGACTAAACCAGGAAGAAGCTGAATCCCTGAAAAGACCAATAACAGGTCTGAAATTGAGACAATAATTAATAGTCTACCAACCAAAAAAAGTCCAGGACCAGATGGATTCACAGCTGAATTCTACCAGAGGTACAAGGAGGAGCTGGTACCATTCCTTCTGAAACTATTCCAATCAATAGAAAAAGAGGGAATCCTCCCTAACTCATTTTATGAGGCCAGGATCATCCTGATACCAAAGCCTGGCAGAGACACAACAAAAAAAGAGAATTTTAGACCAATATCCCTGATGAACATCAATGCAAAAATCCTCAATAAAATACTGGCAAACCAAATCCAGCAGCACATCAAAAAGCTTATCCACCAAGATCAAGTGGGCTTCATCCCAGGGATGCAAAGCTGGTTCAACATACACAAATCAGTCAATGTAATCCAGCATATAAACAGAACCAAAGACCAAAAGCACATGATCATCTCAATAGATGCAGAAAAGGCCTTTGACAAAATTCAACAGCCCTTCATGCTAAAAACTCTCAATAAATTAGGTATTGATGGGCCAGGCACGGTGGCTCACGCCTGTAGTCCCAGCACTTTGGGAGGCCGAGGTGGGCGGATCACGAGGTCAGGAGATCAAGACCATCCTGGCTAACACGGTGAAACCCCGTCTCTACTAAAAAAAAAAAAATACAAAAAAAATAGCCAGGCATGGTGGCAGGCACCTGTAGTCCCAGCTACTCAGGAGGCTGAGGCAGAAGAATGGTGTGAACCCGGGAGTCGGAGCTTGCAGTGAGCCAACATTGTGCCACTGCGCTCCAGCATGGGAAACAGAGCGAGACTCTGTCTCAATAAATAAATAAATTAGGTATTGATGGGACATATCTCAAAATAATAAGAGCTATTTATGACAAACCCACAGCCAATATCATACTGAATGGGCAAAAACTGGAAGCATTCCCTTTGAAAACTGGCACAAGACAGGGATGCCCTCTCTCACCACTCCTATTCAACATAGTGTTGGAAGTTCTGGCCAGGGCAATCAGGCAGGAGAAAGAAATAAAGGTATTCAATTAGGAAAAGAGGAAGTCAAATTGTCCCTGTTTGCAGATGACATGATTATATATTTAGAAAACCCCATCCTCTCCACCCAAAATCTCCTTAAGCTGATAAGCAACTTCAGCAGTCTCAGGATACAAAATCAATGTGCAAAAATCACAAGCATTCTTACACACCAGTAACAGACAGAGAGCCAAATCATGAGTGAACTCCCATTCACAATTGCTTCAAAGAGAATAAACTACTGAGGAATCCAACTTACAAGGGATGTGAAGGACCTCTTCAAGGAGAACTACAAACCACTGCTCAAGGAAATAAAAGAGGACACAAACAAATGGAAGAACATTCCCTGCTCGTGGGTAGGAAGAATCAATATCGTGAAAATGGCCATTCTGCCCAAAGTAATTTATAGATTCAATGCCATCCCCATCAAGCTACCAATGACTTTCTTCACAGAATTGGAAAAAACTACTTTAAAGTTCACATGGAACCAAAAAAGAGCCCGCATTGCCAAGTCAATCCTAAGCCAAAAGAACAAAGCTGGAGGCAACACGCTACCTGACTTCAAACTATACTACAAGGCTACAGTAACCAAAACAGCATGGTACTGGTACCAAAACAGAGATACAGACCAATGGAACAGAACAGAGCCCTCAGAAATAATACCACACATCTACCACCATCTGACCTTTGACACACCTGACAAAAACAAGAAATGGGGAAAGGATTCCCTATCTAATAAATGATGCTGGGAAAACTGGCTAGCCATATGCAGAAAGCTGAAACTGGATCCCTTCCTTACACCATATACAAAAATTAATTCAAGATGAATTAAAGACTTAAATTTTAGACCTAAAGCCATAAAAACCCTAGAAGAAAACCTAGGCAATACCATTCAGGACATAGGCATGGGCAAGGACTTCATGTCTAAAACACCAAAAGCAACGGCAACAAAAGCCAAAATTGACAAATGGGATCTAATTAAACTCAAGAGCTTCTGCACAGCAAAATAAACTATCATCAGAGTGAACAGGCAATCTACAGAATGGGAGAAAATTTCTGCAATCTACTCATCTGACAAAGGGCTAATATCCAGAATCTACAGAGAACTTAAACACATTTACAGGAACAAAACAAACAACTCCAGCGAAAAGTGGGCAAAGGATATGAACAGACACTTCTCAAAATAAGGCATTTATGCAGCCAACAGACACATGAAAAAATGCTCATTATCACTGGCCATCAGAGAAATGCAAATCAAAACCACAGTGAGATAGCATCTCACACCAGTTAGAATGGCGATCATTAAAAAGTCAGGAAACAACAGGTGCTGGAGAGGATGTGGAGAAATAGGAACACTTTTACACTGTTGGTGGGACTGTAAACTAGTTCAACCATTGTGGAAGACAGTGTGGCGATTCCTCAAGGATCTAGAACTAGACAATCTCATTTTCTATGTATAATTTCACACATTTCTACTGGCTCATCATTATTTTTGGAAGATCATCAAATCAGGAAGTCCAATGGCAAGTTAGACAAAGAGTGGCAAACCGATTGCTTCTGTCACACCAACTTGAATGGATTTATAGTAGTGCTTTAAGTTTTGTACTGGGAAAGATTCTGAGGCCATGTTCGACCTAAGGGTAAGATCATGAATTAGCACTCATTTATGGACTGGGAGAGAGAGAAGTGGCAGCGCAAGTGCTACATAGTTGCCATCCCTTTGTAAACCAATGGTAGGGGAGGGTGACAAGTAATACTGCCACACAGGAGGCTTCATTGGTACATGCTCAAACATTCATCCAGAATGTCAGAGAACCTGGCAATTAGCTCATTGCTTAGGATGCTGCTCTGCTATTCTGTATGATTCTAGAACACATCAAAGCAACATGGCTTTATCTCACATTTATGCAATAGCTATTTGCCTCTGCTTAAGGACACTAATATATTTTCCTTTGATAATAAGTACAAATATTTGAAGCCAAATAAATAAAAAGGCCTTTGGGTATTCCAGCAACTAAGTTTCTTAGGATAAATTTGACTTACATAAATTATTTTCTATAGAGAATATTACCACCTTATACTTAGTTTCCTACATTTTAAAGTTGTTTTTCCACCATTATTTCATCTGAGAAGGGTTCCAAAGAATTACACAGCCAACTCATAAGGGCAACAAATTCCCATTACTTTGGTGTTATCTAGTTTATAGACTATTTTCTATAATCCACACATGGCTTTCTTTTCATCTGATTTGACCTTTAAAAACATGCCATCTGGACCTTTGCTTAAAGATGTAAAGGTGTTTCCATTTTATTCTGTTCTCTCAAATACCACATGTTTAAGACTATTACAGGAAAAAATTCATTTAAATAGAAATGGCAATGCTGTCCCAAGTATAAACTACAGCAGACCAATCATGTAAAATGTGTATATGTAAGAGTGAACATGTATGCCTCAGAACTCAAGTAGAAAGCAGACTGCACCGAGAACGAGAGCCACTGCCCTTAAAGGCATGTTGAAATGTCATTTTGTTAGAGGCAATGAGATCTGAGTTCACAAACATATCATAAAGAAGCAGGTCATATCCTGACAGATCAGCAGGGAGCTGGATCTGAAGTGGAAACAAGCCGAGTGGCTCTTCCTATGATCCACCGCATAACCACCTAGTTGATAGAGACAGTCAGAGGAGAACAGGATGACAGAGAGACAAGAGGCAGCCATCCCCAGATCATGACACTAACCAACTATGACTTAGAGGTTTTGCTAAAAACCACACCAGATTTTTGAGTGACAAAAATTGAAATCAGATGCCTAAGATTAAAATAAATAACAAACACAAAACATAACAGATTTTGTGAGAAGGCTTTTGACATAAGAAGGCTCAACTAAAGTTGCAGAATGCTCCAATTTAACTGTTCTCTTTCATTGTACATAAATATATTCTTCAGAAGCTAGCAGCCCAAATCAAGAATAACTAATAAACAAAAAGGCACCAACTTGAGACCTATGCATAAAACTACAAAACTAAAGCAAGCAAAATTAAACAAAACTGAATTCCTCCAATAAAGAAGAAAAGAAGAAAAATTGGATTAAGATCATTTAACAGAAAAAGAACCATCAGATAAAAAGGAAGGATTCTACAAATAAATCTCAAAAGACACAAAAATATTTCATATAGCTGTAGAATGAGCTTAAAGAAGAGATACAGAATTTCAAATAGGTGATTACTATGAGATTATAGAAGATGATAAAAAGAGTAAGTTGGCAGAGAAATGGAAAATAAAAATAAAAGCATGATAAAGTCCCATTAAAAGCACATATATAAAATAAACACAACTGAAAAACAGCTGTGGATACAGTGAAGAGGCTTAAAGAAATGACATAAAACAAGTTAAGAAAAACGAAGATATTAACATTTTTATAAAGATGATAGATGTAGAAGTCAAAGGGAATCCTACACACCTATAATTGGTGTTCCTGAAAAAGAGAACAGAAAAAATGGAATACAAATATTAAAAGATTTAAAAGAAGAAAATAAGCCTGGAATAAAGATTTGAAACTGAAGATAAAAAAGACATATCTTTCCCTAGGAAAGCCTGACATAGTATTGATGATGTTGCTGAACTCCAAAGATAAAAAATATTCTATGGATGCCCACTTATAAAGAGCAAGGAGAATAAAAACTTCTATTGGCTTCTGACTCCTTTCTAGCAACATATAGAAGATATATGACAACGTAATGAATTAGAATAGACTGTAGAATACAATGAAAAACCATGGATAAAATTCTAAAGAAATGAAAACATGACCTGAGAATTTTATAACCAGCCAAACTATTCTCATTGTCTAGCCACCTCTAGTGTAAGCCAGGTATGGAACTTACTTTAGGGAAGGTAAAGCCCACAGGTCCCAGATGGAATATCTGGTGCACACATGGGTACCCCCGATAACCATAAGACTGTGGGGTCTTATAGAGTTCTGGAGTCCTCATAGATAAGTCCCAGAAGTGTTTAACATGGTAATGATTGTAAGGTTAGGGATTTTTAAAGACTGAACTCTTGAGGAATTTTCATTTGCTTATGTATTCATTCATTCACAAATATCTGTAGAGTACCTGTTATATTCCAGTGTCTATGCTTTACTTAATTCTGGATGTGTAATGTATAGAGTTTTATGGTAATTATTCCTTTTAAACATAGCTCTGATAACAGTGTTTTCCCACTATCTCACACATGTGGGGAAAACACAGGAAGAACGTGTCAACTGTTCATAATTCTGTGGAGCAAATTTCTGCAAGAATACATAACACTGGTGCTTATTACCTAGATATTTCAAATACAAATTTAAAAATGCAATTGTCTTGAAAGAGTTTTAAATAAAAGATAGTGGGAGATCATCACTTCAGCCAGAAGGATGGGGAAG
Source organism: Homo sapiens (assembly GCF_000001405.40). NCBI lineage: Eukaryota > Metazoa > Chordata > Mammalia > Primates > Hominidae > Homo > Homo sapiens. The sequence goes on along the minus strand of NC_000009.12, from coordinate 101,148,961 downwards.
AGAGTGCTAATAAAAGGTTTTGGGGATATCTGGCATTGGAATTACAGACAGATTTGGACATGTGGGGATGAAGGGAGAATGACTTCCAAGCAGACGGAATTGTGGGAATAAAGGCAAAGAAATGGGAAAAATTCTAAATATGCCCTGGAATAGGGAACACTGGATTGGAGAGTACTAGAAGGTAAGGTGGGATGAGTCTCTGTGGGACTGGGTGGAGGGCTTCAAAAGCCAAACTAAGGTGTGGGAGTTTTATTCTGCAATTGGTGTGACCAAGTGAACATACAGCAAGACCTACATTGTGTTTTGGGTAAGAATAATCTGGCAAAAAATCTTTAAGAGGAACAATGAAGAGACCCTGACATGGGGCTATTTACAATGCTAATGGAGGGGCTTAACAAAAGACAGAAAGGGCTTAACCTCACATAATGGGAGTAGGGAATACAGCTGGAGAGAATGTTGGAGATTAATTCCATGAGGCAACAAGAGAGCTGAAGAAACAGTTCCAACAAATGGCTGAAAATGAGATGAGAGAAAAGTGGTGGAGGATCTACATTCCAGGTCTGATTACTTGGGAGCTGCTAGCAATTTTCTTACTCTTTAAGAGCTTTTTGCAGGAGTTGTATATGTAGTTTCATTGCAAGGCAAATGACCGGGCAGGGTTTGAAGTCAGATAACCAGTGGCACTTAAGTTTCCTTTAAAAGAGGGCAGAGTCCCCAGCCAGTGAAATATGGGACTGAAGTAAAGAAGATTGGTCACAAGGGCATTTACTGTATGAGGGTCCAAGGGAGGTACATTCCAGAGGAGAGAGTATGGAAGACTCAACTCATTTACCCACCTCACAGTTATACTAAGGCAAGGCACCCTAGGCAATTGAAACTCCATTCCGTCCACTTGGAGCAGAGAGGCAGGTTGATGACAGCCTAACTGCACACATGTAGGACCCTCTCCTAATATCCACCCTCAAGTGAATGGGCATCCAAATTTGACTTCAGTTATGACCATGGTTTGCAGAATGCCCTGAGCCAGGAAAAAGAAAGCCCCTTGGACTTGACCATAAGAATGGGCTTTGAGGTCAGAACACTCCTGGGCATTCCATTTCTGCCACTTACTAAGTGACATTAGGCAAGTGACTTAACTTCACTGAACCAGGATGTTAATATCCCACAGGGTTCTTCGGAGGATTTGACAGGATAATGAGAGTAAAGTGAATAGCAAAGAGCATGAGATGTGTAAACAGCAAATGGGTGCCTGGGGCCCTTCCCCCCACACTCCCAAAATACCTGCTGTATGAGCTGCTGGTTTCCTGCACAGTCACCTCCAATTCCTGAAACTACGTCTTCTCTCTTCTCCACATATGTCCCCCTCTTTCCTTCTCCTTCCCTGGAATTTATTTCTCTTTGTCCATTTCCTGGGTCTCTTTTTCTCCTAAATTTTGCTCTCCCGTCTTCTTAATTCATCGGTCTCTATGCTTTATGCTATTCTGCTCCTTCCCCACTGAGCAAGTATTACTAAAAAGACAGGATGAGCCAAAAAGGCAGTTAGTATGAAAATTCATCATCATGATTCCCAGAGTAATTCAAAATATCCCCTAATATTATGAAGAAATAGGTGCCTTCATAAGACTAAAAGTGGCTATTTTTGTAAAACCCACCCAAAGACAGAAAATGGGTAATTCTCACAAGGAGCCCTTACTGTGAACAAATACAAGACATTCCTTACAAATTATAAATGTGCAGACATTGGAAATATACTAGACCACTAAGCACGAGGTAGAATTCTGCTCTGAGCCACAGAGAACAACTTGTGAGTGAAGTTCAAATGAGGCCATCAAACCAGCCAATAGGTAATTCCAAGCACAGGACCTCTTTTGTAGGGAAGTTACTCTCAGCCTGCACATATAGTTTCTGTTTAGTTTTAACGTTATCAGGTAGCTGAGCCGTGACTCCACTGTTTTAAAAATGTCATAGCGACATTTCACCCAACAACACAGCCTTAACAACATCCTAGTTCTTTTTAATTAAGCAGCATAAATCAGAAACAGAAGTTTCTTAAAATTCTTAATGCCACGTGGAATCAGAACAAGGCTTACAATTGCAAAATTATCAATATCGCAATATAAAGCATCTCTGTATTTTTCACATTCTAATGTCATGTGTTTCTGGCAGAATTTTAAGCTTCTTGACCCTAGGATGATGGCCTGTGTCATCACTGAGAACTCAGGCAATGTACTGTGTCCTGGCTGGGGGTGAGAGGGAGATTAGAGGCAGAGAACATTTTGTTAATTGCTTCTTAGGCCCTTACTGGGGAGTAAGGGAACTCATTCCTTCTGCACTTCGTGCTTGGAACTTGCTTGTTCAGCCAGTTTGTTTAGCTGTGCTTTCAATAATGGTACTTCACTGGTTTCTAAAATTCCCGGGTAATCCAAAAGAAGGACAGGACATGGGACACATGATTTTGAAACATCCTGCCTTTCTTTCTGCATAGTTAACAGAAAGTCTCTTAAATTAGACTGGCTGGTAGTTTTTGGAGTGTTCTAGGAGACCTATACTTTCCACTACATGGGCCTCCATCTAGGGAGGCTTAATATCAGGTATCCTTATAAGAGGAGATGAAGTGTATTACCCCTTTTTCATTCAAGACTGTTCTGAAGGCTCTTCTCCAACCACACTAAGAATCTAACTGCCTAACTAGTCATTTTTTCAACAAACATTTATTGAGCATCTGTTATGTGCCAGGCCCTGTGCAAGTCATCGGGGATGCAGTAGCAAACAAACTATAGTTCCTCAAAGCAAGAGACACATAAAAAATTATGCTACACTATGAGAAATGCCAAGAGATATGAAGCACTATGGGAGACAGAGGGAAGTAGTAATTAATTTTATCTAAATAGTAGAATGAGGGAAGGATTCTCAGAGGTTATGTTTAAGGAATATTTTTTTTCTTTTGAGACAGGCTGTTGCTCTATCACCCAAGCTAGAATGCAGTGGTGCCATCATGGCTCAATACAGCTTCAACCTCCTGGGCTCAAGGGGTCCTCCTGCCTCAGCCTCCTGAGCAGCTGGGACCACAGGCACTTGCCAGCATATTTGGCTATTTTCATTTTTTTTTTTTTTTTTTGGTAGAAATAGGGTCTTGCCATGTTGCCCAGGCTGGTCTCAAGCCATCCTTCTGTCTTGACCTCCCAAAGCGCTGGGATGGTAGGCATGAGCCACCACATCTGGCCTGACATTTCTTTTCTTATTCTTATTTTTTAATTTTTTAACTGACAAATCATATATATTGCCAGTCATGATGGCTTGCATTTGTAATCCCAGCACTTTGGGAGGCTGAGGCAGATGGATCACCTGAGGTCAGGAGTTCGAGACTAGCCTGGCCAACATGGTGAAACCCGTCTCTACTAAAAACACAAAAATTAGCTGGGCGTGGTGGCAGGTGCTTGGAATCCCAGCTACTCAGGAGGAGGAGGCAGGAGAATCACTTGAACCTGGGAGGCGGAGGTTGCAGTGAGCCAAGATCATGCCATTGCACTCCAGTCTCAGTGACAAGAGCAAAACTCCGTCTCAAAAAAAAATTGTATAGATTTATTGTGTATAATATGATGTTTAAAATTTGTATACATTATGAACTGGCTAAATCAAGCTAATTAACACATGAACTACCTTAAATACTTATCATTTGTTTGTGGTGAGAACACTTAAATCTACTCTCTTAGCTATTTTCAAGTATATAATACATTGCTATTAACTGCAGTCCCCATGATGTGCAATAGCTCTTTTTAACTGATTCTTCCTGTCTGAAATTTGGTATCCTTTGACTAACATCTCCTCAGTCCCCTCAGCCCCTGGTATCCACCATTTTCCTTTCTGCTTCTGTGAGTTACAGCAACATGAATGAAACTGGAGGACATTATGTTAACTGAAATAAGCCAGGCACAGAAAGACAAACACTATATGATAGGTCTGGACTTTCTCACCATGGTGAGAAAGGGGAATAAGTATTAAGGCAAGAGAAACAGCATGAGCAGAGGTAACAGATGAAAAAGTATTTGGCATGTTGAAAGTGCTGTGAGTAGTGTGGTTGGTTAGAACACTATTATATAAGTGAATGAGAAGGTGGGGAAATGAAATTGGACATAGACCAGTTTATGAAGGATTTAGCAAAATGTTCTTCAGACCAGTAGTTTTCAAAGTGTGGTCTCTAGACCATCAACATCAACTGAAAATGTTAGAAATGCAGATTCTCAGATCCCACCTGTATTTGCCTGCTAGGGCTGCCATCACAAAATGTCACAGACTGGATGGCCTCAAGAACAGAAATTAATCTTCTCATAGTTCTAGAGGCTGGAAGTCCAAGGTTAATGTGTCAATAGGTTTGGTTTTTTTCTGAGACCTCTCTCCTTGGGTTGAGATGGCTGCTTTCTCACTGTGTCTTCACATGGTCACCCCTTAGTCTGTGTGTCTCTGTGTCCTAATCTCTTCTTACAAGGACACCCATCATTGGATTAGGGCTGACTCCAATGACCCCATTTAACTTAATTACTTCTTTATTATTATACTTTAAGTTCTAGGGCACATGTGCACTACATGCAGGTTTGTTACATATGTATACATGTGCCATGTTGGTGTGCTGCACCCATTAATTCGTCATTTACATTAGGGATTTCTCCTAATGCTATCCCTCCCCGCTCCCCACCCCCAACAGGCCCCGGTGTGTGATGTTCCCCACCCTGTATCCAGGTGTTCTCTTTGTTCAATTCCCACCTATGAGTGAGAACATGCGGTGTTTGGTTTTCTGTCCTTATGATAGTTTGCTGAGAATAATGGTTTCCAGCTTCATCCATGTCCCTACAAAGGACGTGAACTCATCCTTTTTTATGACTGCATAGTATTCCATGGTATATGTGTGCCACATTTTCTTAATCCAGTCTATCATTGATAGACCAAGTCTTTGCTATTGTGAATAGTGCCACAATAAACATACGTGTGCATGTGTCTTTATAGCAGCGTGATTTATAATCCTTTGGGTATATACCCAGTAATGAGATGGCTGGGTCAAATGTTATTTCTAGTTCTACATCCATGAGGAATCACCACACTGTCTTCCACAATGGTTGAACTAGTTTACAGTTCCACCAACAGTGTAAAAGTGTTCCTATTTCTCCACATCCTCTCCAGCATCTGTTGTTTCCTGACTTTTTAATGATCGCCATTCTAACTGGTGTGAGATGGTATCTCATTGTGGTTTTGATTTGCATTTCTCTGATGGCCAGTGATGATGAGCATTTTTTCATGTGTCTGTTGGCTGCGTAAATGTCTTCTTCAGAGAAGTGTCTGTTCATATCCTTCGCCCACTTTTTGATGGGGTCGTTTGATTTTTTTCTTGTAAATTTGTTTAAGTTCTTTGTAGATTCTGGATATTAGCCCTTTGTCAGATGGGTAGATTGTAAAAATTTTCTCCCATTCTGTAGGTTGCCTGTTCACTCTAATGGTAGTTTATTTCGCTGTGCAGAAGCTCTTTAGTTCTTTAGAGGCCCTGGCTTAAAACAGAGTCACATTCTGAGAGATGAAGTGTTAGGGCTTCGATATATGAACTGGAGGAAAGACACAATGCAGCCCATAGCACCACCCCAGACCTACAGAAGAAGAAGTTGACAAAGACATGAAGGATGAAGAGGCAGCCTCTAGTCTGTCTGGTAATCTCTCTAGATGATTTGATAGACTTAAGTCTGGAAACCAATGCTATAAATAGAGGGCATTAGAAATTTCTAGTTAGAGCAACAATATGACACAACTGTGTTTTACAAAGAACATGCTGGCATTAATATGGAGTTGTAGACAGGCAGGAACTGGATGTAATGGGGCCAAATAAGAGATGACGAGGAAATGAAGAAAGCCATTGATCCATCCACTTTCTCCGTGCCTCATCCAACCAGGCAAATGTTACAAGAGAAAAAAAAAAATCACTGAACTTGGATCTCTAGTTGCACAATAAATTTATGAACATCTACCTCACAGAAGCTTTTAATACCCTCAGGCCAACCCACTATACCCCACTCTCTGGAGTTTGCTTTTCTCACTCATAACACTTGTCATAGTACTTATCACAATCTGATCTCAGTTGCATCCTCTGCCCACTATAATGGGAACTCCTTGAGGACAGGGGCTTTGTCTGTCCTGTTCATCACTGAATCCTTAATGCCAAGGGGAAAAAAAAAGCAGCAGCAGCCAAATGAAGGAATTAAAGAAACAACAGTGGAAAATGAAAAAAGGAGACAGATTCAAGAGAGTGAGTTTTAGGAGAGACCTGGAAGGATTCTGGGACTATTCCTGAATTCTTATCTGGGTGAATGTCCTCAAGTTAAATAGGGAATGTAGAAGAACTAGCTGAAGCAGGCGAAGATACGGGGAGCATCTATTCTGGCCACACAGCAAGCTGGGACAAAGCAAAGACTAATCACAGAGGAAATTCCTCGTAGGAGTTCCTCTTATCCCTGATGAAAGGGCCATCCAAATAAAACCAAGTCCAAACAAAAGCATGTGGGGTCAGGCCACATTTAAGTACAAGCCTAGCTGTCCTGGCTACTATAGGCCAGAAACAGCACAAGTTTCAAGTTCTGATGGGTCTTTAACCCATCTACTCATTTTTTGTATTAAGTCACTCAAAATGTATGACCAGAGAGAGGCAGAATGGTATAATGGTTAATAGGGCAAAGTCTATAGCTAGAATGACAAAGTTTGAATCTCTGCTCTACTATTATTAGCAGTAAGACTTTGGGCAAGTTACTTAAACTTTCTGTACCTCCTTTCACTTACATGTAAGATAAAGTCTAATGAGATATTCTCTTGGTGAAGGAGAAAGTTGGGATCACCTAGTGAGAGAGATGATCAGATAGATTTGGATTCAGAAAACTGGTAATGGTTTGGACTAGACACTGGAAGATAAAAAGTAGATTGGCTGAACAGGGAGAACCAATTGGGCCCAAGAATGAGAAATCTGCAGTGATCTGGCCAATTAGCAGGGTTATGCATTTTATTTTCTATATTGTTAGGCAACAAAGGAGCAGCAGTAGAGAAAGTCAACAATGGGGTTGATCTGGGGTGGGGAATCACTGGGTGGATATAGGGACTGAAATTCTAGGGAGTGTGGGAATAGAAGGTGTCAGTGACGGAGGTTCAGGTAAAGATGTGTGTTTTCATGCAGTTTTCCAATCTCAGTTACTCACATACTTCTTTACGTCTTTCCCATGTCCATCCTATTGCTAGATAATTAACTTTCAATCTACTATTTTTACTTAGTCTCATTCTAAGAACTAAGGGTTGGATTCTTTTCTAAGCCTTGTTCAATAAATGTTTTTAAATACTCATCCATATACAACATAGAATCCTCCTGCTTATCATATGTTAGGAAAAATTCACCATTATTGTTAAGAACTTGAGTTTTACTTCAGTTCAATTTCATCTAACAGGGAGTAGTAAGATTTGCCATTTGCAGTGTGGTTTTTGGCAAAGTACTTAATCTCTCTAATCCTCCATTGGTAATAATGTCTACTTCATAGATCGTGCCCAGAATTAAATAAGATAATTCACATCAAATGCTTACCCCAGTGACTGGCATAACGAGGATGCTCAATAAATTACAGCTATTTTTGTTATATCAACCCTCCTAGTCATTAAGAATTTATGATGCTAATGATTAAATAACATGAAACATAGCCAATACTTTCACAGTGTGGAATCTTCCCTTTTGCCAGAGGAGATTTCCATAGATTCTCCTAGGAGACTGATCTCTCTTCACAATGTATAACATGCCATGTTCTTCACGGTTGGTAATTAATGTTTATTTTCTAGTCAAGGAATTCATATTGAAAGAATATGACACTCCTACATAGAGTTAAATTATACAGAAATGTCATATTTTCTTCCAAACAGAAACTTCCATATTCGGATCCTTTTGTCACAGGATTCCTGCTAGGCGTCATCATCATGAGACCTCTAAGCAGAGAGTGTTGCCTTCTGGCAGACCTTGAGGTCGCTTATCTCACAGAGCACACTTTCCACCTCTTTCTCACATCTGCCTTGCATCTTGCTATTGCCAGTTAGTTTATCATCCTAGTACTGTACTGTCCTTCCTACTAGACTAGACAGAGTACATACACACCAAACTGTGGGAGTTCAGTAAGTCTTATTATGCTTTTCACAAAAATCATCCTCCCCACAACTCATTGGCCAAGTTCCATTGTAAGTAATTGGTTATTATCTTTTTATCCCTATTCTGCTCCACACTATCTAAGGGTATAACAATTTTACTGGCTTCTGTTAGGTTATTATGTGTCATTAAATAGCTGCATATTGTACCTTCTAGAAGGGGCTATTTAGTCTTCCACAACAGATGAGATGATGAAGAGCTATTTAAATGGGGGAAAGTCCTTGTGGAGACAGCCTGTTTTGTAAAAACGTAAGGCATCTTCTGCTGCCTTTTAGCCACTTGCCAATACGTGTAAAGATATGAAGAACATTTTGCATACCGATTTCCACCCTAACGATTTCAAGGCTATTTTATCCTTGCTGGCTTTTCAAATACCTACAACTTTTCTGCTCAGTAACAACCAGAGTCTAGTACACAGTAGACCTCTACAAACATTTGCTGAATGAATAAAACTCAAATTGGCTTCTGTACATTTCAGCAATCCACTTTCTCTACTTATTCACCTTATTTTCTGTTTCCCTAGAAAAAACAGAATCTATTCTTCAAAAGCAATTTTTATGAGAATGTTTAAAACCTTAGTCCTTTTGGTGACACAAAGTGGGGAGTAGAGAGGGATGTAGGTGGATAGGGAAGTAATGATACCTTTCTAGTTCCTTTTGTACTCATACTATCCCTCTCATTTGAGGAGGTTATAGATTCACAAGCTTTGTCTTATTAACTCCATCGAATGGCAATTTGTGGCAGATGCTTATTCCACTTGTTCCTGTGAGCAGTTGAGGTACAGAATAGGGAAAGGCTCTCCAGCTGTTTCAGATCATAGACTCTAGCTGATTCCAGATTCAGGTCTAGATTCCAGGCCCTCAGTCCTTAGTTCTGAAACCACATCTACTTTCATCTTTTAGTTCAAAATGGCCATTCTAGGGAGACTGTGCATGTGTGGGAATAAGGAGTATATGATAACTCTGTACTTTTGGCTCCATTTTGCTGTGAACCTAAAAATGTATTAACTTCTAAAATATAGTCACTCCATTGGCCAATTATATATAACTCTTGGTTTACATTTCCATGCTTACCTGGAAGTAAAATGGCAATATAATGGCAACACTCTCAATTTGAGTGTAACACACTGTCGATTCATTCTTTTTGCAATCACTCCCTGGCATCTTATCTGACTACCTCCTCACCACACTGTCAATCCTGAAGGGGAAAAGGAACCTATACTCAATGAGAATTTATCTTTTCTTCCAGTCTAAATCTAAAAATCATGATAGCTTTTTAAATGTCTATAGAGTAAACAAATATGAAAAGCTTTAGTTTGTAAAGAACTGTAAGCCCAGTTTCTGAGGACCAACTAGTCAGATTCTCTCTCTCCTTCATGTCTTTGGGTGGTGACATTTTCTCCTTTAAGCACACACCCCTCATTAGCTCTGGCAATGCACACTCTCACAGGTCTCACCGCATGGGAGACAATGCCACTGGCTTCTTTCCAAGGATGTAGAGGCGCAGCCAAAGTGGCTAACATTCCATATGGTGGTGAACACAGTTCTGTCTTTATAATGTATTCATCCCAAGAGGCCTCATGGCAAACTAATTAATTTTGCAATGGGTAGTTTTTTTTTCATGTATTTGTTGTGAAATAATCTATATTTCTTCACCCTTTGAAGACATTGGTATCATTAAACATGATACTTAGACAACATGAAAAAAATGATACTTAGAAAGCATTAAGTAAATAGTTATAATGAGTTCTAATGGTAAAAACAGTTGCTGGAGACCTCTTCCCTTAATATGAAAAGACAACTATGTCCCATTGGTAGGATAGGCACACAGAAGTGGTCACATTTCATGAAGAGTCAACTTTAATCCTACCAAACCCTGGGGAAAAAACATGAAATTTGAAATGGAAATACACAGGTTCAAATCCTAGTTCTGCCACTTTTTAGCTTTATCATCCTGGTAAGGTATTATCTTCTCTGAGCCTTAGTCATCCTCTGTCACTGGAGGGTGATAATTCCTGCTTCACAGGCACTTTGTGAGCATTAAATCAGGCAACAGATGTGGCACACATATCAGAGTGCCTGGTGCTAATGAGTGAAGTAACTCAACAGAGGTCACACAGCTAGTGAGAGCCAGGGCTGGGGTTCAAATTTAATAATTCTGGTAGCTAAGAGCATAAGATTTAGGACCAATCTTGTATCTTGATTTCCTTACTTGTGAAATGGAGGTTGTCCTATCTATCCTGCATCTCTGTGATGAGAAATAAATAATATTTGTAAAGCATTTAGTACAGCACCCAGCATGCAGTAAACCTTTAAATTCATTAATTCTTTCAATAGACAAGCAGGCAGATAGATAGATATAAAACACCTGTTGGTGCCAGGTACTACACTAATCTTTGGGATACAGCAGTAAGTGAAATATAGCCTGTCTTATAAATGTTAACATTCAGAAATATGACCATGACTTTTAACAAGCCAGTGAGTTATGATGTAGATAATACTGACCTCAGTTTGCAAATGAGGAAATTGAGGCACAGGAATTCATTTCTCAAAATCACCTCAGTGGCAAGAACTCTGATCTGTATTGACCCATAGCCTACTTTCCATATTATGGGAAATAATACTAGGACAGACAAGATGGTACAAGATGACAGAGCTGTCTTAATGACTGGATGTGCATAACTTAGTTGCCCATATGCATGAGGGGTAATAATGATAATTCACACACACAGCCTCATCGATGCTATCTCTGTGCTGTGTAGGTAGCCTGGTACAGCAGAAAAGCTCAGGATTTTAGTCAGAGGATCTGGATTTAAATCCTGCATCGGCCACTTGCTTATTATTTGTGAATAACCTGATAACTTGAACCTGTCTGTTCATTTACACAGTGGGTATGACAGTACAGTCAGGGCTGTTTTGGGAATCAAATCAGGCATGGATGTTTAGGAAATTTGTAAACCCTAATACATTATGGAAAGAAACATTATGACTATTTCAGAGGCAAACTATTTTCTTGCATTACATTTTAGCCTCTAGTTATTTTCTAGTGGTACCACATACTAGAAGCTGTAGACTGCTCTTTAGAGGATATTCTTGAGCAGTTCACCCCAGGCTGCCATGTCCAGTATGCAGGCTATGCCTTGCACAAGGACACCCAACTAAGGAGGCAAATGAAAGCTAAAAAGCAGCCTACTCTCTGCTCACGAAGCTGTACACCCCAACACAGGACCACCTCCACCCAGAGGAACTGGCATCCTTTTCTAATTTACCCAAGGCAAAGTATGGGCTATCAGTGTCCCTAACTATACTTTACATTCTCCTGTTTTAATCTTTCCTTCTTCCATCGATTCCTATCCAACTATGTATTTCTTGTCCCTCCAACTTCCATTCCTTGTGACCTGTGCTCTTCTCCTCCCTGACTTTCTTTTTCACCTGGCAGTGAAAACCAGCATAGTGCCTCTCCCTGAACAGTTGCTTCTCTTGCCTTTACATATTTCTAAGCCCAGTGCACTTCCTTCTCTCCAGAACTGCCCCTCAGTCTGCCAAAGAACACCACTTCTCTGAATGCTCTTAAGACTTAAGGAACAGGCTCAGTGAAGAGCACATCTTTTTCATTTTTAATTTTTATGGGTATGTAGTATGTCTACATATGTACAGGGTATATAAGATATTTTGAAACAAGCATACAACGTGTAATAACCACATCCTGGTAAATGGGGTATCCATCACCTCAAGCATTTATCATTTTTTTAGTTACAAACATTCCAATTATACTTTTAGCCATTTTAAAATGTAAAATTATATTTTAAAATGTACAATAAATTATTATATAAAATAATCACTCTGTTGTACTAACAAATACCTGATCTTATTCATTCTATGTAACTATATTTTTAGACCCATTAACCATTCCCACATCTCTCACCCCTGTCCACTGCCCCCACTACCCTTCCCAGCTTCAGGTACCCATCATTCTACCCCAAGAAGATCAACTTGACTATAAGTCAGAAGAGCCAGATGCTGCAAGCCAGGTAACCACGTTCAATTTCTCACCATGCTAGTATGACTTATAATAACACAACATGCTTCCGTACATAAAGTTCTTAAAAGTAAACACACAGAATAAATACAATTCATGAATAAACATATGCTGACCTTATTGACCAAAAATTGAACAGAAAGGAAGAGATTTATGAGTAAAAGATTCAATAGTAACAAGTAAAGGTAGAGAAATTGGAAGCTTCACTAAGGTGATAAAAGCAGCTTAAAGTCAGAGGAAAAGAGGACATTGTCATACAAACCATGTGTTAAATGGCATCAAATAGGATCAGCAAAAGAGAATCTACAAGCCTTTTGTCCCCCAGTTTAAATATATCCAGTGAAAGAGATCTCCGATTTAGTGTACATACATGTATTTACTCTCTCAACTCTAATACTGACCGCATAAGCTATTCATGTGAACATTATATGTTTCTTCCAGGCACTCTGGAGCAATTTGCAACATACAAGTAGTATATCAGATTCTAGAGGGAAGTGGGCTGGTAATAAATGGTGAAAGAGAAGATGAGATAATTATTCCCCACTAATTCCTATTTACCCTCCACTAAAGGAGGGAAGAAGAGGAGGAGGAGGTGAGGTAAGAAAAGAACTCTGAAGTAATTAACACCCACTCAGAGGTGAAGGAGAGAGATTAAAGCTGATGAGGGGGAAAAACGTATCAGAGAAACTTTCCTAAATCCCTGTAACTTCAGTCACGGAACACACTATCTGCTTTTGCATTTTGCCTACGGTTTCTGACCTGCCTCCTCTTCCCAGCATAGCCATCTAAAATAAACCTTGGGTGTGTTAATGGACAGGATTTACCTGACTCTCCTGCTGCTCCTTTCTTCATTGAGAGCCTGCTGGGCAGACAGAGGCAGGAAGGGAAAACTGAAAAATGTAAAGGTGAAAATGTACAAGAATGTAGCAGCAAACAGGGATCTCCAAGGAGGTAAATCTCCAGCTTTTATCAAGAAAGGACTCCTGCAGCAATAAGATCTGCAACCTTTAAGCCGGAGGTAACTCAGAGTAGAAGGGAAACGTCTTTCTACTCTAATGACCAACATAATTCAGGAACACAACCCAACAGAATATAAACTCCAAACCAGCAGATCTTAGGGAGCTACAGGGAGAGCAATCCTGAGAGCCTCATTTAAGTGGAAGAGGATAATGTGTCATTGATCTTGAGGTAGTTGGTAAAAGTGAGAGAGAAAAATACACCGTAGGAAAACCAAACAAAACAAAACTGGACCATTTAGCCTGGCAGGGACAGAAATAAGGAGACCCTTAAGAGAGGAGTTTGAAATCACAGTAAAAAGTGCAAGTGATGTGATACAATAGAAAACACGTTGCCTGGGAATCAATACCTGATTCTAAGCCATCACTCTAATAACCAAATGGCTTGTTTGGGGTTGAATGTTCCCAAATGGGGATTTAGATAAGGCCTTTGTTTGAGTGGCCTATGAATTAACCTTTGCTTTTTTCGCTTTAGGGAATATGGTGTGGATAGAAAAAGGGCAGCGATTAAGCTACAAAATTAGAAAAATTACCATGGGGATAGCAGCAAGCTAATTTCCCCAGTCCAGGTTCTTTGTAATCTCTAATCCCACACTGTGATGCAGTTGCAAGTTCACTAGCCAGGGAGTCAGGACTAATAAGGTGGACCTAACACCAGCTCTGACTCCAATTAATAATGACACAGAGAAATAGTTTTCATGCCTCAATCACCTCATCTGCAAAATGGGGAAGGGTGTGAGTTGAGCCATAAGCTCGACTCTCTGCAGGTCCTCTGTTGCCCCATAAGCCATACCCAGCCCCACGTCCCACTATTTGCCCACAGATATCCTCTGATTCTCCCAAGGTTTATCATTCATCTGCTGCTCCGTACCAGGCCCAGTTCCACCGTGTCCCACACATTTGCTCTTGCTGTTCTGTTGGACTAGAAGTAGAATCCATCTCTACCACCTTCCAAAATCTTTTAGTTATTTGCCATACACTGAACAATTGAAGTTCATCTTTCAATTTTTCCTGTTCTAGCCATGTGTGGTGGCTCCTGCCTGTAATCCCGGCACTCTGGGAGGCTGAGGTGGGCAAATCACTTGAGCTCAGGAGTTCAAGACCAGCTTGGGCAATGTGGCAAAACACTATCTCTACAAAAAAATAAAAAATTTAGCCAGGCATGGTGGGGCATGCCTGTAGTCCAAGCTACTTGGGAGGCTGAGGTAGGAGGATCACTTGAGCCCAGGAGGCAGAGGTTGCAGTGAGCCCAGGTCACACCACTGCACTCCAGCCTGGGTGACAGAACAAGGAATGGTCTCAAAAAAAAAAAAAAATCCTGTTCTTACAGACCACAATATATCACTTGACACTTGGACTGTATTATCTGATGCTCTCCTCAAATTATTTTCTATGACTTAGGCTTGTCTCTTTAAATAGCAAATTCCTTAAGTGTTAAACTTTCATATTTTCTATAATTCTTAAGCAGTCAGTAAAGGCTTAACACACAGATATAGTCAGTTTGGCTTGAAGGCTGGCAGAAACTATTAGCAGATGCCAACTTCATCTTTATACAGTAGAACAAAACTCCTGAACATTTCCTAGAACTCCAAATCTAAACTTGAGTTTAGTTAGGCTAACAATCTGTGATTTCCTCAACTGTCCTTGAATATTAGTAATTCAAATATTTGAATGCTTTCCATGAGCCAGTTCTATGCGCCAAGTGCCTTGTGTATATCATCTTACTTAATTCTCACGACTACCCAATAGATAGTATTACGGATCCAATTTTGTAAATGGAGAAAATGAAGCACAGCAAGGTTAAGCAACTTGCCAAAACTCAGAGTAGTAAGGAGTGGAGCTGGGACTTGCACCTGGGTTGTCTAAGCTTATAACCACCATACTATTCTGCTATATGGCTTAAGTGCCTGTTTTTACTTTGCTCTAGTTTTCTTCACTTTCCTACAGGGATAAACTCAAGTATAGTAGGCATACAACAGTCATCCTCTTTCTAGTGTGGAAGGAGGATGTTCTTTAAGCTGAAAACATTGAACAACAATGATACAGTGTTACTTACTCTTTACTGTGTTCACTTGATGCCAGGCAATACACTAAGCACCTGTATATGTCATATCATTTAATCATGATCGCCTAAAACTAGCCATGTAAATATCATGTATAGTAGATCCAACTATTATTCAGTTTTTGCAGCTAAAGTGATTGGAGTTTAAGTTAAATAATTTATCAAATGACAAAAGGTTTCAGATGGTGAAGCTAGAATTCAAATTTAGTTCCATTTGATATTGGAGGCCAAATTCAACCTGTTCACTTTCCTGCGTTCTCATGTTACTACAAGTTATAGTGCTTTAATGATTTAATTACAGCAAATTTTCTTTCATAATGTACATAAACTCAGGGGAAATAATTAGATCTATATTCTTCCCAGCAGCTGAAAACTATGCTTATTAAAAAGAAAATAATATTAAAGTATAAGATCAATTTCAAGCATGTGTAATATAAGAGAGACAGACCATGTGTGGTAAAGGAAATTTTGTGGATCAAAGTGGGTATTGATGGGGAAAATTCTATATATGGAAAAAGAAAGAAAAAAATCATTTTATTCCTAAGACTGTTACTCAAGCTTATCTAAGTTTCCTAATTGGAACTTGATTCCCAAGGGATTTCTATCACAGCTAAACACTAATTCAGTTGCACAGCTTTGTAGCATGATTGAATCTGGTGGCTAAATTTAGACCTGAGAGAACACAACCATAATCCTTGCTTAAAATTATTCAAGACAGAGACAAGTTCCAGAGACTGAGGAAAAATGAAGGGATGAAAAAGTCCACTTAAGTACTGGAATTCACTAATGCATTCTTTTATTATTAAGACTTAATAATAAAGCAGATTTAGGTTTACAGCAAAATTGGGAGGAAGGTTTAGATATTTCTCATATACCCACTGCCCATACATATGCAGAGCCTTCCCCAGTAACAATATCCCCCACCAGAGTGGTGCAGTATTGCAACTGATAAACTTACACTGACACATCATAAGCATCCAGAGTCCATAGATTACATTAGGGTTCATTCTTGGCTTATATATTCTTTGGGTTTGGATATGTGGGTAATAACATGTATCCATCATTATAGTATCATACAAAGTAATTTCACCTCCCTCAGAATTCTCTGTGTTCTGCCTATTCATCTCTTCCCCAATCCCCAACTCCTGGTAACCACTGACCTCCTTATTGTCTCCATAATTTTGCTTTTCCAGAATGACATATAGTTGAAATCTTACAATATTTAGGCTCTTGAGATTCACTTCTTTCACTTAGTAATATGCACTTTAATTTTCATGTCTTTTCATGGCTTGATAGCTTATTTCTTTTTAGCACTGAATTTTACTTTGCTCTAGTTTTCTTCACTTTCCTACAGGGATAAACTCAAGTATCGTAGGCATACAATAGTCATCCTCCTTCTAGTGTGGAAGGAGGATGTTCTTTAAGCTGAAAACATTGAACAACAGTGAAATAGTGTTGTCCAATGAGGGGACACTGAGAAGGCACAGTGCCCCCTCAGTTTCCAAACTATCTGTGTTTAAAAACCACTACAACGTCACTAGACATTACTATCCAAATAGTCTAAGACAAATGTAGTTATGGAAAACCAAGATAATCCCAATACACCACAGCTTCTTTTACCAACACAAATACAGCACTTGCTATAAGCCAGATACTGTTGTGACCACCTTGTTTCAACTCATATCAGTGCTGGGAACAATGCTATGAGGCAGACACTATCATTATCACCATTTCACAGATAGGGAAACCAAGAGAAAGATTAAGTAACTGGCACCAGACCACACAGCCAGTAAGTGGCAAAGCTAAAAACTGAACCCAGGTAATCTGAGTACAGAGTCCATGGTTTTAACTCTTTACAAACAATTTCTTTCAAAGCGAAGTTCTTCACTACCTGTTTCTCTAGAATTTAATTCTTCCTTTGAAAAGTTAGGTTACAATATGTACCTTTCTCAGACTCTGTGGAAAGTTAGCTAAGAAAAAGAAGGTAAGTGTTGGCAAACCTTCCATATCCGCATGTAGATGTTGGCGTCTGAGGGAGAGCCTTCACTGAGCTGACCAAGTGGGCTCCCCGCTCACGACGAGTCCTCTACATTCCAGCTCCATCTGGCTCACTTTCTGCTTCTACTTCCCTAATAGAACTTCTGAGTCCTAAAAGTCCTCCTCAGGTGGCCCCTTTAAACCTGATGAGCTCAACAACAGACACAGCTGGGGTCAAGGAATTTGGAATTGCCTTAGGAATTAGAGGCTTGGGTTTTGGCACCTGTCTTCACTACTTTTAAACAAAAATACTGCTTTAGCTACCCTCCTCAGCTTAGGTTTCAAATATGACAGGTATTCTCCCCTTAAAAGAAATATTAATGAGCGGGTTCAGGAGTTCAGGTAATCTCATTTCTCCCTGCATTCACGCATACCCATGATTATTCCAGAATGAGTTTACAGAATGCTGTACCAGGGCATTACAATAGGCAATGTTTTTAAAATGCCGTCAAGGTCAGGTTAAATCACATGATTATCATTATTAACTATGCAATTGGCCTCATCCAGAATGAGAAGGGAAGTAGAGGCCATTAAGCACATATTTATCGTTAAAATTATTTCTAATATTAACATGATTATTATTCTCACAACAAATTTGTGATGTGTGTACCTTTATCTACATTTTACACATGCATAAACTCAGGTTTATAGATGTTTAATAACCTGTCCAGGGCTTCCTCTGTAAGTAGTAAGAGGCTGAGCTCATATTTAAAGCCATACCTGTCAAAACCAAAACACATACTTTTTCAAGTACTTCTCGACCAGTTTATTAAATCTCTCTTTGCACCTGATACACTTTCTCTGTATTATCCTATTCTCTACTGAGAACATCTGAACACACTTGAACATATGTTGCCAACTCAGCTTAGCACAAGTGATGGAGAATGGAGAAGATAAGCGCCCAGAAGTGATTTTGTATTATCTATATTTTGAGCCATAGTCTGCTCATTCTTTGTTAGTTGCTTTATTATTAGTAATTGGTTGGGAATCAGCAGAATTAAAATCAAACTGAGAAAGTTCTCAGTAAATTTGTGCCAGTCTCACAAAAAATAAGTGCTTAACAATATGTAATAACATGTATCTAATAGTGATAGCTACCATCTATGAAGTGCCAGACATTTAATCTAATTAGTTTTTAAAGCATCCCTCTGAGGTTGGCATATAATTAGCTCCATTTTATGGAAGAGAAAACAGGTGTAGGGATGCTGAGTAACTTTCCTGGGGTTATGCAGCTGATAAAGTGGCAGAGCTTGGATCATGTAAGCTCTGTCTGACCTGAATGCCCCCAATCTGCTCAGCGTCATCTGTGTGATTGTCTCAAAGCAGGAGCTTCTCACCATGAAAACATGGAGACAGTGGAATACTAAAGGGAGATGCAGAATAGTTTCTGTACAAATTTTTTTTGCTTTTTCCCCCAGCTTCATGAGGTATAATTGACAAATAAACTGAACATATTTAAAGTGTAAATTTGATGACATTTGACATATGTATATACCCATGAATCCATCACCATAATCAAGATAATGAGCATTTCCATATCCCCAAAAAGTTTCATCGTTGTCCTTTATCTAATGCTCTGTTTTCTCATCCCCAGGCAACTACATTAACTGCTGTCAAAATACATTAGTTTGCACTTCCTAGAATTTTACGTAAATGGAATACTATTAATATATATTATTTGTTGTCTATCTTCTGCAATTAGAATAATTATTTTGAGATTCATCCATGTTATTGTATGAATTTTTTTCCCTTTTATTTATTTTTTTATTGTTTTGAGACAGTCTTGCTCTGTCGCCTAGGCTGGAGTGCAGTGGCGTGATCTCGCCTCACTTCAAGCTCCATCTCCCAGGTTCACACCATTCGCCTGCCTCAGCCTCCTGAGTAGGTGGGACTACAGGCGCCCGCCACCACACCTGGCTATTTTTTTGTATTTTTAGTAGAGACGGGGTTTCACCATGTTGGCCAGGATGGTCTCGATCTCTTGACCTCGTGATCCACCCGCCTCGGCCTCCCAAAGTGCTGGGATTACAGGCGTGAGACACTGCACCCAGCTTTTTCCCTTTTTTTTTATTGCTATTGCTGAGTGTGTGGATATACCAGAATTGCTTATCCATTCACCTGTAAGTGGATAGGTTTTTGGGTAGTTTCTAGTTCTGGGCTGTTACAAATACAACTACTATGAACAATTGTTTACAGGTTTTTGTGTGGACATATGCTTTCATTTCTCTTGGATAAATATCTAGCAATGGAATGGCTGGGTCATATGGTGCATGGGTAACATTTTTTTTTTTAGTTTCTCAACTGTTACTTAAGGTGGATGTACCATTTCACATTATCACCAGTGGTGAATGAGAGTTCCAATTGCTCCATCACTTTGCCAACATTTGATATAGGCAGTCTTAAATTTTAAACAAGGATCTCTTGGGCCCCTACAGTGTGCTCTATAATGAACAAGAGGGCATGGGAGCACTAAAGAATTAGAGGACAAGGAACTCTACCCTATATGGTTCAAAATCTACCTGGGGAGACAATAAAGTAATGAGAACACCTTTAGTACAGATGTATATCTATATCTATGATCTGTGAGATATAAGAAGGATTAATATTATATAATATCTATATATGATATGTTAGGCATTATTAAGTATAGTTGGTCAGGTTTAGCTTCTAAGAATAGATCAGCTTTGTACCAACTTTGAGAGAACAACAGGATTTGTATTATTAGAGAGAGGAAAAAGATGGGGTTTCAAAGTCCTCTATTGATTGAGTTAACTTGAGTACACATTTTAACCTCTCTATTCCTCATCACAGAGGGTTATGTTGTGAATTACCCTCATCAAACAATAAGACAGAGTATTATGGAATCATCCACTTTCAAAGCTCTCACCAGAGAAGTTGTCAACCCTGCAGATTACATGGATTTAGGCAGAGAAATTGATAATACCTACCTATGTATTTGGAGAGATAACTCAGATTAACTTGGGCACATCAACAGAAAAAACATCACCCTCCTGTCATGTTAAACCTGCACTCGGCTGAGTACCAAACACAGTATCTATTTGCTGCTTTCAAGAAAGTTCAGGTCTACCATGCCTTTAAAACAGCAAATGGAAACTGAATTTGGCACTCAGTAAACTGCCTGCCATAGATTGGTTCAAATATGACAAGAGTTTGGCAAGAGTAGGTAAGATTATTATTATATCTCAAAGGAAAAAATGATTTATATGCACTTTTAAAAATAAGTACTCATCCTTTTAAAGAAATAACTTCTCTGAATTTAAACAAAAATCTATAAAGATACATTGGGAAGAATCATGATTCCAGTGAAGTTTTTCTTCCTTTGAATTTCTCTACAGCTGAATGTTCTGGTTTGTGTTCCAATGTAAGCCACAGACCACTTGGTTCTTTAAAACTATGGTCCCAGTTTTTCCTTAAATATATCTCTAGACACAGAGCCCATGTTCCCCAAGAAAATTCTCAATATCACAATATATCTCAATAAGCACAATTCTCATAGTGCTTAATGTTTTCTAGATCCCAGTAAAATTCCTGAACTACTTTTTCTAGAAATTCTGTTAACCTTAATCCTTACCTGCACCTCAGCCCAGTATCACCTACACAGCCCAATATCTGATGGATTTAATTCTTCCTACTCTCTTTCTCTATTTCTCATCCCTCATCCTCTTGAAATGATCCTCTAACTATCTATCTGTTTCATTCTCCTCATTTACCCCACCCCTTCCTGGGAAAAGATGAGTGTTGGGAGAAGCTGGGGCAAGGCTTGCATGTCTGACATAATGTAAAAGAGTCTTGGAACATGTCCAGGATCCAGGGTCTAAAACCCCCCATGGCCTTTGGAACACCAAGCTCTGTGCTAAAGGGTGGAGGGCTACGCTGACACACCATAATCTAAGGCCAGGGCATAAAATCCCTCGTAGCTTGGATAGAATCCAGGGCTCGTGGCTCTGGAATGTGTCTAGACTTGCTGGCTCTTTGCTCCTTGCTCTCCCAGGATTGATTGTATCTTGAGTTAAAAGAACCTGCTCTCCACTATCTCAAGTAGCAGAGCTAATGCTAAACCATCACAGCTGTAAATCATGTGCTTAATGCAATGTGCCTTTTCAACCTCCACATTCTCACCACCTGTTTCTTTGTTGGATTACCAATAAATAGCATGGGCTCCCAGAGCTCAGGGCCTTCACAGCCTCTGCAATCACAATGGCCCCCTGGTCCCACTTTACTTCTCAAACTGTCTTTTTCTCAATCCTTAGACTCCGCCGGACTTCGTTGCCCCCATGACCTGGTGTTGGGTCTGATCACACAAACATTCCTGGCACCCAACATGGGGTGACAAAGACCCTGGTGAAGGAACGCTAGAGCGTATGAAAGCAGAGGACACATCGTCAAAGGACACCCGAGGATGTCTAAAAGAAGCTCAGCGGGAAAGTTGAGTACTTGGAAGAACGAGGGTAACAATGGGACAAATTGAAAGCAGACATTCTGCTTATTTTTCTTAAGGCATTTATTACAAAGAGGGGGAGTGAAAGTTAGTACTTAGAATTTCTTATCACTCTTTAGTGCAGTAAAGCAGTTTTGCCCATGGTTCCCAGAGCAAGGGACTATGGAGTTGGATAAATGGGAGAGAATTGGCAGAGATTTTAAAAAAGCGTATAAAGATGATACAAAAATTCCAGTCTCAGTTTGGTCAATGTGGGCACTAATAAAAGCAGCTCTTGAGCCATTTCAAACAGACGATAAGGCAGATTCAGATGAGGAAGAGGAGGATGAGCATACACAACTAACTTCAGATTCTGAATGTGAGGAACAGAAACTGGAGGAAATTAAATGAAAGAGAAACTGAAAAAAAGTATGTTTTACTAGCCTGTCAGCTCCACCTGCTGAATTAAGTGAATAGCCACCTCCTCTTTCTCTCCTTAATGGGAGAGAAAATCAATTAGCTATAAAACTTACCACTCCTGTAGCTGCAACATTAAAACCTGGAGCAATTGGTAGTGCTAAGACCCAGTGGAATCTGAGGTTTGTTTATTCAGAGGGCACCTCAATAAACCGAGGCATATCTGGCACAGTCAGTGCCCTTACAAACGGCAACAATTGTCTCCCGCCGTGGCAGGCAGTGCTGCTGTGGACCTCTGCAGCACAATTCCCATCTCCCTACTTCCTGGAGAGCCACCAAAAAAGGTCCCTATGGGAGTTAGGGGACGCTTGCCCTCAGGAACAGTTGGTCTATTGCTTAGAAGGTCTGGTCTAAATTTGAAGGGTGTCACTGTGCATACAGGAATGATTGGTTCTGATTATACCAGAGAAATTCAATTAGTTATTAGTTCCTCAACTGCATGGTCTGCTTCCCCAGGAGAAAGAATTGCTCAGTTGTTGACATAAAGCTGGGAAGCAGCACAGTGAAAAGAACAGGAGGCTTTGGTAGTACTAATCCAACAGGAAAGGCTCTATATTGGGTTAATCAAGTATCTGACAAAAGACCTATTTGTACAGTAGACCTGCTGTTGGATGCTTACAGATTGACACACAGGCCTGGTTGGCAGTAGTCCCCAGAAAAAATAAATCATGGGCTGCTTTGCATAGGACAAGTAAAGCCATCTTGAAGCTTCAGTTTCATGGTTAACCTGCCTCTGCTAGAGAAAAACAGATTTAATGAGCACACAGGCATGATATGGGCTGAATGTGTTCATTGTGGTGTTTGTGGCCTTTATGATGGGAATGTTCAACCTCTACTCCTACTACATTGGTGGAAAACAAAATGAAGCCTTCACAACAGAGTTTTAAGACAATGTTCTGGGCTATATTTGGACTTTCTGAAGTGAAATCAGTGGTCATCAATTATAACCACAAATTCATTGAAAATATTGGTTATGTTCTTTATGGGGCCTGTAATGTTACAATGGTCATTGTTTTGCTAAATATGTGAATTGCCATGATCAACAACTTATTCCAGGAAATTGAGGATGACTCTGATGTGGAGTGGAAATTTGCAAGGGCCTAACTCTGGTTTTCCTGCTTTAGGCAGGAGACAGCACTTCCTATTCCCTTCAATCTGGTGCTGGGTCCAGGGTCCCTGTTTTGTCTCTTGCTGAAGCTTAAAGCATGGATTTCTGAGCTCTACCCAGGGTCATAAAAAAGGTTTCCAGGAAAGATGTAGAGATAAGTAAGTAAGTAGAGATAAGTAAGTAAGCAGAGATAAATTGAGACAAGTAAGTAAGTAGAGACAAGTAAGTAAGTAGAGATAAGTAAGTTAAGTAAAGTAGAGACAAGTAAGTAAGTAAAGTAGAGACAAGTACGTAAAGTGGAGATAAATAGAGATAGAGATAAATAGAGATAGGGACTTGCAGGAACTCACAGGAACTAACAGGTACCACAGGGACAGATAGGGATAGATGAAGACTAGCAATATAAGGTCAGTGCCCTAAAGAGGTACAAAAGCAAAGACTAGCAATATAAGGTCAGTGCCCTAAAGAGGTACAAAAGTAGAGACTAGCAAAGACTAGCAGAGATTTGCAGGGACAGACAAGAACATTCTGAATTATGGAAATTAGCTATGGCTCAAAGGGCAAATATAAAAGGAATGGAGGGGAGGGAGGTAAGGATAAAAATGCTCTTTCTTTTCTCTCCAGGACCTTTTGGTCCTTTAACTAAACTTAATCAAGGGGTGGATGCATTGGTTTCTGCGGTCTTTGCTGGCACAAGCATTCCATTCGTTAACTCATCTTAAGGCCGCAGGCCTTAGAAAAAAATATGGTCATATACAAAGAGCTGGGAAAAAGGAAAGATAACTATATGGGGAAGAGGATTTACTTGAGTCTCTTCAGGTGATGATCAGGTGCCTGTGTGGGTGCCCACGAAACATCTGAAGATCTATCCTGAGCCACAGCATCTAGTGGGCCCACCTGTACGGTGTGAATTGAAGGTTTGAAAAGCCTTGATTTGCTTTCCCTGTGCCTTCTGTTAGAAGGGGCCTGTTTCTCATTATCAGTGGCCTCCTGGCTACAGCCAAAAATGTTTTTGCTTCTGTTTCATTAGATTTACTAATATGGAGGTGAGGGTATGCTTGTGTTTTTGCAGGAGATGAATGAACCATGTAGGTGCAATCCCCATGACATGGGAACAGATCAAGAAAACCGCACAGGAAGCTGAAAAACTGCTGGAGCACCAGGGTTTTACCTACAGATGCTTAATGGACCAATGCTTTCTGACTGAGCTTCTCTCTACCCTGAATACAAGAGAACTGAACAGTTAGGCAGGAGTATCATCACCCCTATTCAGCATGAAGAAGTTACAGAAGAGGGACCTTCATCCTTCTGCAACCGCTAGAATTAAGGGTCCTCTTGAAAAAGGGAAAGGGGAGATGTGTGGGAAGTATTCAAACCAGAGCGACTCCAGTTTGAATAAGGGCTAAGAAAAATGAAGCTGGATCACCAACCGGCAATTAAAGGCTGCAGAGCATGAAAGTGCCTTGCTCAATTAAAAGAGGCCACCTTTTATGCTAGAAATAATGATAGCTAGTAATAATGATAGTAATAATAATACCTTCTGTTTTACAAAAAAGAGAAGGGGGGCATGTTGGGTAAAGCTGAGTGTCGGGAGAAGCTGAGGCAGGGCTTGCATGTCTGACATAATGTAAAAGAGTCTTGGAACATGTCTGAGGTCCAGGGTCTAAAACCCCTTGTGGCCTTTGGAACACCAAGCTCTGTGCTAAAGGTGGAAGGCTACCCTGACGCACTATAATCTAAGCCCAGGGCATAAAATCCCTCGTGACTTGGATAGAATCCAGGGCTCGTGGCTCTGGAATTTGTCTAGACTTGCTGGCTCCTTGCTCTCCCAGCATTGATTGTATTTTGAGTTAAAAGAACTTGCTCTCCATTATCTCAAGTAGCAGAGCAAATGCTAAGCCATCCCAGCTGTAAATCATGTGCTTAAAGCAACGTGCCCTTTGACCTCCACATTCTCACCACCTATTTCTTTGTTGGATTACCAATAAATAGTGTGGGCTCCCAGAGCTCAGGGCCTTCACAGCCTCCACAATCACAATGGCCCCCTGGTCCCACTTTACTTCTCAAACTGTCTTTTTCTCAATCCTTTGACTCCGCCAGACTTCATCACCCCCACGACCTGGTGTTGGGTCTGATCACCCCAACAACCCCTCTCCATGGGCTCCCTACTATCCTGTGAGCACCCATCTATCACTGGACACATTACATTTATGGTAACCCACAGTTGCCCATACAGGCCAGATCAGACTCAGGCCATCTGATTTCCAAGCTCAGAGACCTAACCATAAAAATATTCTACTTCTTAGTGTCTTCAAGACACTAACTTATAGTTCTATAAGTTAGTTCGGGACTAACTTATAGATAGAGCTATTCAATATTCCTAATTTGGGAGGACTTTCAGATTTTTAATGTTTGGTATCAATTTGAGAGCATAGAACAGTATTTCGGATTTTGAAAATATAGAGATATATTGATATGGCTTATAGGGAGAACCATCTATAACAAAGACCTTGAGAAGCTTCAGAACAGTAATTCCTTGGCACAAGCCCAGGTGAATCTACCATACCGATGTTACATTCAGGTCTAAGGGAAGAGTGCTTTTATGAGGCCCCAAAACATTGTACTTAAGAAAAGCTATTTATATTAAAAGTTACTACTTGCAATTCTGGAAACAGATGTAGACAAATACAGATCTAGCTCCTCTGGACAGAACTGAAACACAGCAGTCTTTGACAGTAACCAGTTGCTAACTAGGTGTTAGAAGAAAGACTGGCTAGGTGTTAATGAAGATGGAAGTACAGTAGTATACAAAATGCAACAGCTCTAATTCAGAGTTTGTCCTGGGTCATATTTAGAACAGAGTATTTTTCATAGGGATGTCATTTATTTCACAATAAATTTAGTGGCTCCATTGATTCTGATTAGCTACAGAAATCTTTAGTGATGACTGAACATTAAGGTGAACAATAAATATGACTCTACAGATAACGTTGGGAATATACTACTTTGAAACTGTTTTTGTTTTGTTTTAAATTAAATATCAACCTTAAAGCTTGCAGAGATTTTGATTAACCTTATTTTTTCCTAGTCTATTAAGAAAAAAAATTAAGCTTTATACAGTTTCCACTTCTGGAAAATGAGATTCATCTCAGAGTTCTTGTGAGATAAAAAGCTCTTAGAACCATGCCATGCACACAGCAAGTGCAATTAACTGTTTGCTGGTAATATTATTAAAACCAACAATTGTAGACAGTCAGTATTTGTAAAACGAAGGAAAAATAAATATGTTTTAAAATGCCTGGAAAGGGTATATATCTTTATGATGTATGACAGTGTTCCTGTGGTGAGATTAGCCTTCAGTGACAGATCAGGGAAGATTGCCAGATAAGATTCCTTGTTACAGCTCACATGCTACTTCTGAAAAATCCCTTTATACACGTTCAAAGCAAATGGCAATAACTAACCTGAAAAACAAATGAATACAAAGCAAGTTTCAATGTCTGTTTTCATACAAAGGAAATAAATACCCAAAGGCTAACTATTTGGACATGCTCCAGCTTTCTAGACAGTATTGGAAAATGCTACCTCCATGTTCCTTGGTGTGGCACTGGCCTTTTTGTTCTTTAAACTACATATTAATGAAATCACTTAACCACATTGTCATGGCCACATTTGTAATCAGTCTTCAAACAGCTTCCCTAGTGCATATCCTATATCTAAAGAAGAGTAGATACTCAGCCAGTGTAATAGCAAGGGAAAAAGCTGCTACCTTCTGGAAGAATTCACTAGTCTTACTTGACCACACTCACAATTCTTACAGCATAGCTGGTTATAAAATTTTTGCAACTCTTGTAAATCTAAGATGATCACTTATTTTTTGCCTTCTTTGAGCACCATATCCACTCCATTTGCTGACATTCAGTGTGAAAACTGACTATACACACATTCTGAGGTGAATGTAGAATGAAGCTAAGGTAGGTTTACCCTGCAGTCATTGACAAAAAAAATACTCCTTGATTATGTATTACTGTATTAAATATTATTTGCAACTAAAATGCATGGTAATACTCAGGAGAACAGAGCTTTGGTCAGCATAGCCTTTATTTCTTCATAAAAGGTGGCCTGGTGCGTTGAAAAGACAGCTATTCAGAGAGATCTGGCTACAGATTTGGGTTCTACTATGATGTGAACTTAGACAACTGACTTAAATGCTCTGAGTCTCAGTTTCTTTACCTGTGGAATGAAAAGAATAACCCTTGCCTAACAGGGTTGTTGCAAGCATTAAAGGATGTAAAGTGCTTAGCACAATATCTGATACATAGGAGCTCAATGAATGCTAATATATTCCTCATCTGATAAAAAGAAGTTAGATATTGTTTTTAAAATGCATTGCACTATTCTGCTGGCTATGATTTCAGGTAACAGTAGTAACTTGTTAGAAACCCATTTTAGAAGCCTGTAATTATTATGTGTCCCAAGTGCTACAGAAGACTTTACAAAGAATCTGATCTGGCCATCAGAGAGAACCAGTGGTGACAATTGGTCTTCCCCTCTACCTAAAACCCCCAGGATTATAGTTCACCTCCTTGTGAATCAGCCCCATCAATCTTTAGGCAAGTTTAACTTAGAAAATGCTATTTAAGTTGAGTCCTTGTTTCCCTGTAATAGCCACTCACTGATTAATTCTAATTCTGTCCTCTAAGCCACCATATGTCCAATGCAATGGATGTGATTATGGTAATAGGAAGAAAAAGTCACTAAATTCTGGATATAATAGGAAGGCCCTCATAGGGCCATATTCTCTTCCAGAATACAGAGATTCTTAAGCCATTTGGGATGTGTGGCTGAGTAACTGGTCCTCAAACCCTTTCTTTGGTGATGACCCCACACTTACATCTGTTGAAGGAGGGGAGCATATGGTGGTGTAATCATCTCCATTGTTTAGCTGAAGAAATGGAAATATCTTAAGATAAAAGAAGGAGATGGCACTTATCTTATAGACACATACCCACCCATTTATTCAACTGCACCTGTTGCTAACCAACTATGAACAGAAAGGCAAGGATAAGTCATTGAAAAAGATGCCTCACAAGGAAGTGAGGCTCTAGCCAATAAGGATATTTATGATGCTTCCTTAAGGTGTAATAAATATAGATGATACAAGGATAAAGACATTGATAAGATACAATTGGCCAGTGACCTTGAACAAAAATGTGGACATCCAAATGTTATCTTTCCTTGAAATAAGTTGCAAAGCCTAATGCCAGTAATATCAGCAAATCTAGCCATCAAGGCTAACAATAGGAACTCACAACAACGGATTCCATTGGCTAGAGTGAAGGTGCTAACAGGAGTAAAAATAAAATGGAAAATAAATTGTGAGAGATTTCTGTCTCTTTCTCATATGTGGCAGATGATTATTTTTATTATTACATGTGCAAATATATTTTGGCTGGAACATCACTTTAGGTGTCAAGATGTGTGACTTAATCAGCCACAGAAAGAATCCCAAGACCTGTTTTAGCCAGTAAGCAAAGCCAATAAAACAGAGGCTAAAAGTAGAAACACCTGCTAACTTCTAATTATGGCAGTAAAGTGAGGTTAGATTGGCCACTAGTGAGGCTGTTGAGTAGCCACTGATAACCTGAGTTTTCACCTATGTATGGCACTAGCCTCCACAGTTGAGTATGAAACCACAGATGAGACAGAAATGGGTGGTTTGGGTGGGGAGGGAAGTGAAGAAGGATGGGGAGGAGATTATTATTCCAGAGCCCAGAGCCACTGCATTCTCTAAGCTAGATAGAGGGGCAAAAAGGCCAATTGAGGTTATCTTCGAGGTCCTCTGGAAGGCATCTCATCCAGCTCTGGCCTCTGGTGATCTGCAGAAGGCAGAAGTATTATTGTTATGGTGTTAGGCTGGTCCTTACTCCACATGCTGAGTTTCTAGTTTCCCATTGATATTCCCTAATCTACTTCAGGGTTTTCAAGGTGCCAGCTCCTCAATATCTCTACAGCCTGATCTTTCTCCGAAGAATCTATTGGTTCTTCTTGATTGCTGATAGGCATTTTCCTGTCAATCCTGCACTCTCACATGCAGATACCTGTCCTGATAGTTCCATCACCTCCAGAGGGACACTGGACCATGCTCTGCAGCCCTCTGCTGCCCTCCACTGGCCATATCTGATGGCCAGGGTTTGCTCTGAGCTCCCCAGGCAGCACGGTGTGAAATGGCTTACTCTTGAAGCATCTCCCAGGAGACCAGTGGGCTGCCACATTGCCAAAGCAGCTTACCACCCTGGAACACAAGGATACCATAACACAAGGGAAAGCACTACTCTGAAGGCCCTGTCCACAAATTACTCTTCAAAGAAGAGGTATCCGCCTTTCATGTACTAAACATATGTTGACCTCTGTGGACAAGAACATGGTAAGGCTGGGGAGAAAAGAGATGAAAAAGAAATAGAAAAATACTCTCAGAAAGCTCCTGGTGCTGCATGTCCAATTTGGCTGGCCCATTCCCAGGGGCTTGATTTTAGTATTGGAGAGAAGCAACTTACTCTCTGAGCCCCAAGCCCAAGTCCTTCAGGAGCTTCTAGAAACGAACTTCTCATGTTTCATGGATGTCATCCAAATTTGAATTTTACCTGCCATGTCTTTGTCTTAAAAAACAAACAAGCAAAACAAAAAAAAACATGGCATCAAAGTCAAAGACATAGGGTCTGCCTTCAAGAAATTTCACAGTTGGAAGGAGAAAGATAGTCATAGAAAAAAAATAAAAAATAAGTCACGATGTGGCAAGAGCCAAGCTGTGTGGGAATGAGAAGCAAAGACAATTAATTAGGACTGTGGGGATAAGGTGAAGCATTTAAGGGTTGTCTTTGTAAAACAGAAATCTGATCAACATTGTCTACAGGCTCAAATAGAAACCCCTTAGCATGATCTAAAGTAGGCTCCATAATATTTCCCCTACCTTCCTTAACTGCTGCTCTCATCATTCTCCAATATCTGCTGGTCCAACTGAAATTCATCTTTATCTCAACCAATGTGCAACCCCAGAACCCATGGAGAGAGAAAGAGAGAGAGAGAGAGTTCCAGATATCCCTTCCCAGTGCAGATATCAGTCTCAGATCTTCTGTGCTTCACTTCCTCCTCAATTTCTCGTCACCTCTTGTTTGATTTATTCAGCTCTCTCTTTTAGACCTTTATCTGGAAAGACAATTTTGATCTGTAAGGTCTGAAGCCAGACACATTCTCTCCCTTGGATATTTATGTGCTTTCTCTTTGGCTGTCTCAGCTCAGCCCCACTAAACCCAGATACTCAGAACCCAACCAGGCAACACCTATGTCCCATCTGTGAAGTGGCACCTGAGATCCTGAAACATTATTGCCCACAGCAGGTCATAGCCTCTGTTTATCAGCTTCCTCCCCATCTCTGTCCTAGGATGTTAGTCATAAATCAAAGCTATAGCAGCTGCACTGTATCTTAGGTAATTTCTCTGAATATTTTATTTTATCTTCTTTCACCCATTGGCTACCATCTGAATTGTTCCTTTATGCTTTTTACTTGAAAATACTGCTAAACTTACACATTCTGTCTCTACTGACAGTGTCCAACAAAGCAGCCCTTGGACAGGGTTAACCCCAATATCCCAGAGTACCACTTAATTTGAAAAGAGGGAGTCAGACAAAACTATGGTGATTATGAGAATACTGGTAGGATCAAGGAATGTTTATTGAGTGCTCAGATGTGCCAGGTTCTGTGCTAGGTGCAGGTTGTCATTTGATCTTCACAATTGCCTTTTGAAAGAGGTAGTATCTCCATTTAAAGAGAAGGACACTAAGACTTTGGAAATTAAACTATTTGCCTAAGGTTTTCTTTCACATGTGTGATTTCAGAGCCTGTACTTTTTTTTTTTTTTTTAAGTGAAAGCAAGTTTATTAAGAAAGTAAAGGGATAAAAGAATGGCTATTTCATAGGCAGAGCAGCAGCATGGGCTGCTGGCTGCCCATTTTTATGGTTATTTCTTTATTATATGCTAAACAAGGAGTGAGTTATTCATGAGTTTTCCAGGAAAAGGGTGAACAATTTCTGGAAGTGAAGCTTCCTCCCCTTTTTAGATCATATAGGGTAACTTCCTGACATTGCCATGCCATTTATAAACTGTCATAGTGCTGGTGGGAATGTCTTTTAGCATGCTAATACATTATAATTAGTGTATAATGAGAAGTGAGGACAACTAGAGGTCACTCTTGTCATCATCTTGGTTTCGGTGGGTTTTGGCTGGCTTCTCCACTGCAGTCTGCTTTATCAGCATGGTCTTTATGACTTGTATTTAGTGCTGACCTCCTATCTCATCCTGTGACTAAGAATGCTCTAACCTCCTGGGAATGCAGCCTAGTAGGTCTCAGCCTCATTTTACCCAGCCTCTATACATGATAAAGTCACTCTGGTTTAAAAGCCTCTGACATTTTCCCCCTTCCTTTTATAAGAGAACCCTTAATCCTAAGGGTTGCAGAGGGATGAAGATCCATCTTCTGTAACTTCTTCAGGCTGAATAGGAACGATGATATGATATCCCTGCCTAACTATGAAGGTCTTTTATATTCAGGGTAGAGAGAAGCCTGGTCAGAAAGCATCAGTATGTTGAGGGCCACTCATAAATCTTGAGTTTCAACAAAAGGTGATATTTGGAAGATTAATAAGTGCTCAATTTAGGAAAACATTCAATAAGCTTATCTTGCATTTCTTTTTTTACTTTTTTTTTTTTTTTTGAGATGGAGTCCTACTCTGTCACCAGGCTGGAGTGCAGTGGTGCAATCTTGGCTCACTGCAACCTCCACCTCCCAGCTTCAAGCGAACCTTGTCTCAGCCTCCTGAGTAGTTGGGACTAGAGGCACGCACCACCACACCCAGCTTTTTTGTATTTTTAGTAGAGATGGGGTTTCACCATCTTGGCCAGGATGGTCTTGATCTCTTGACCTTGTGATCCGCCCGCCTTGGCCTCCCAAAGTCCTGGGATTACAGGCGTGAGCCACTGCGCCAAGCCGTTATCCTGCATTTCTACACAAAGAGTACAACAGCAATATATCCCACAACAGTTAAGCAAAATTATCCCAAGTAAACTAAATAAGAAGGCTTTCCATGAACTGGGCAACTGATGGAACCAAGCTGATATGGGACCGCTACCTGATTCCAATATGTGGACAAAATTAGAATATTGATTCAGACTTTTACATTACCCATTCCTTTTGTTTCTTCTGAGCAGCAGCCAGAGATCACTGGTGGTTTCACATGAATAAGCAGAGTTAGTCTAAATTCAGAAAAAAACTTAAAAAACAACTCATGAGACTAGAATCTAATAACAGACATACTATAGTTCCCAAAACATAATTATTCTCTCAGAGCCTGTACTCTTAACCGCATGTTTTTTCCTGGTTGCCTGCCTCTCAGACAGTCAGTACTCTATAGCTATTTATTGGATTTTCTAGATGAAACTGACATTTGGCCACAGAACCGCATTTGGATTTGTATTAATTCCTAGAGAATCTTGAAAGTTTTGTGCTTCTACAGAATGTTCTTCTCATTCTCTGAAAAACTGGAAGGTCTTGAGTAGAGTCCAAAATCTGCTGTTAAGTAGTGAGAGTTATTTGGAACTTAGCATAAAGTGGTCATCTTTAATGGAGTAAATTACTATTATTGTTGCTGTTATTATCTCTTTTAGTTGAATCTGAGGGAATTCTATGAGAATAAGGAAAGCAAGAAATCCCTTTCATTAAAATGGGATGCAGCTAAGTGTAGTTGAATCTGAGGGAATTCTCTGAGTATAAAGAAAGCAAGAAATCCCTTTCATTAAAATGGGATGCAGCTAAGTGTACATTCAAGTAATATGATAAAGGCATAATACACACATGCCATATGGTATATATGCTCATTTCACTGTCAGGTTTTAAGTAACGGTTGCTAAAAAGGCTATTATGCAATATGGTTTTTTATGTCTCTTACATCAATGATTTTCTTTTAAGCTCAATTCTTTGTCCTCTCTTATATTCCCTAAGGGAAGAAAAGACACATCTTTCAATCTCAACTGGCAATTTGTACTTTTAAAAGTAAAATCCCAAAAGTATGATAAGACTACATCTGTTGTGTTCATCACTATAACCCCAATGTTTGCCCATTTAGGCACCCAATAAATACTTGCATATTGAAATCAGTCATCACTCTCACAACTATCACAATCGCCCTCACAGGCTAAATTTATGCAGGTTGCTGATGCTTTGTGTGAATCAGCCTGGGAGCACGGATACATGTAAATGCTTAGGCTGCCTCTTTTCCCGTGCATTCCTGAAGCTCCATTTGGAAAGAAGAAAGCCATCTTCCAGAAGTGAGTGGGGCACTTCGTTTCACTAGGGTTTTGGAGTGGAAATGGATTGAGGTGTCATAAATGAATGTACTTTCTGTACTGTGGAGATGGGACAGAATGTGAGAAGGCAGCAAAATCAAATGCAGTCTGGCCCCAGAGTGTCATGCTGAAGTTACCTGGAGAGTCATCTCCAGCAACTGCAGGGCTCACACTATGCTGAGAAACATAATTAGCTACAAGAGATAACAAAATAAAAAGGAGACCTCTCCACCACCTCTCAAAGGTACTGAATAAGTTCATCTAAACCAGACCATTAACAAATTGTCCTAAGCTCTCCCCTTTATAGAGATGCATGTCTACCAGCATCCACCTACTGTGCTTTTAAGGAGTGCTGGAGAAACAGTAACCCCTCGCTGACCATTCAGGTCTTCATTAAATTGGGACCAGCTCTACCTAAGCACTTTGCACTTAGAGAGGCAGATATGTAATTGTTAAGAGCATCTGTCCCAGAACCAGATAAAGTTCAAATCCCTTTTCCACTGTTGCTTACCCCAAGATCTACCTTAATTACACTGTGCTGTGTCCTGAGGCGTTGGCCTGTGCGAGTCACATCAGCTGGCTTCCTTACCTTCCTGCCTCCCAGTGGGGAGCAATGGCAGGAGACAGGAAGAAAGGAGAGTGAGGTCTGATACTCCTACCTCTCTCCCTGCAGAGTGACCTTGGGCCAGCTACATTCCTTATCTAAAGATCTCAGTCTTTTGTAGATGACCCTATCCACACAGCCATATCTATTTCCTGGATCTTCAGGTTTAAGGTCTCCTTAAATCAGACAAATACAAGTGTGCTATCTGTCCCCTGTTGGGATCCTGCCTGATACACCATTTACTAGGATGTGATTTTGGTGAGTTACTTAACCTGTCTGGGTCTTAGGCTGCTCATTTATGTTGGGGATGATAGTAGTACCCTGGTCACAAGGGTGTTGTGAGGATGAAATGATACATTAAAGCAGTTAGAACAGTGTTCAATGAAATATTAACTACTGTTATTACAGAAGCTCAGTTTGAGAAGATTCCTCTTTTTTTAGCCTCAGATTGGCCTCATTCATTCTCTCATTCCTATTCTTTCTCTCTGACTTCATTTGAAAGGAAAACGCCTACACTTTTTTTAATGCTTCAGACCATCTGAACTGTCCCTATTTTCTGCCTGTCACTGTCTTTCCCTCCTTCCTTATCTGTGCTTCCTCATATCATCTCCTAAGAAGTCCCCTTCCAGGTTCCAGGCCTTCTTCTCTGCCTGCAGACCCTGCAGCTAACCTTTCCAAGTTTGCCTTCATTTATTGCTGGGCAGAGACTTCTGCACAATTCTGCAACATAACCAAAAGAACCACAGAGCTTCATGTTTCTGCAGAAATATGCAAATTGCTTTTTTAAAAGTTTTCTTGTGAAAAAAAAAGGTATGTCTATCAACAATGCAGGAGTTTGGTTGGTTTTCTGTTTTTGTTGTTGTTTGGTTTTTTGCATGTGAAAAAGCTTCAGTGGCAAAATAGACTGTTTTTTGGTTTTTTTGTTTTTTGTTTTTTGTTTTTTTGTTTTTTCTGTTCTTTCTTAACACTTACATTTTCCCCCAAGCATATTCAATACTAGACTATTTAAGAAGTTGTAAAAATTCCTATTAGGAATGTAATTGTAGTGCCCTGGGTACATTTGAATTTTGGTTTGCAAAGATCTTGGGAAGATAAATTTTCTGGTTCATCTTATAAGAGATCTATTTCCTGCAGAAAAATTAAAAACATAAATAATAGTTATATATCCCTTACTCATATCACTTTCTTGTTGCTTCTCTAAACAGCACACAGTATTTACATAGTATAAAGGCATAAATGTACAAAAACACTGACCTAATGCCTTAGTGTTTTGTTTCGTTTAGTTTTGGTTCAAGTAAATCAGAACCAGTATTTAGTTTTCACACTGGAGGCTACTAAAACATCCTCCAGGGTTAAAAAAAAAAAAAAAGGATTAATATGCTTAAGAATTAAGCAAGAGAATAAAATTATTCTTATAACTTCCTCTCTCAACTCTGATTACCATTCTATGACCTCCTGAACTTGAATGTCTATGTCTAAAAGAATAACACAGCCACGGTTGAGGGTCCAGGTATATACAACTGTGAATAGATAATTAGAAGCATCTTTCACGATTTTTCAGTTCCCAAAATGAGAAGTAAAAAACTAGAAGAAAGAATCCATCTTTTAAGCTGCAAATCATGTTCACTGAAAATGAAAGAAAATATCTGAGGCAGACATCTGAATGGTCAGTGTCTGCCATGTGAATTGACAGGCTCTTGTTTCTGCTGGGTTTATTTTGACATAAATGATAAACAAACAAACAAGCAAGTGCTGCCACCTGGCATTTGACAATGTGAAGATGAAGTTTTAACACACCTGCTCAGATGTTTCACAGTTAGACAGCTGCCAGCACCACTTCCTATATCAATTTGGAGGAATGAAAGGTGCACTCTCAGCATTCCTCATTCCCACATTTCCCCAAAGTGTGAAGCACCATACGGAAACTGTCAAGCTCAGTTCTGCACTGCTTGGGGTAACTATGGAGTCATGTGGGGGTTCTGCATGTGGAGGGAAGGAATTACTGCATGCCAGGAGGAGACAATGATTAAATGCAGGAAGAGATAGCTTCTGTATTAAACCATCTGAAAGACTGCTAATGACACTGTTTGCATCTGAAGCTGTTAATCTTGGATATTTTTAGATGAGAACAATAGCCAAACTCCTAAAATCAAAAATTGTATCCTCTCAGAATATGAACCCAATACTAAATAGGTAAGGACAGCAATCTTATCTAAATGCTATTCATGAAAATAAACTTTTATTTCCTTCTGTACTCACTTTTTAATTCTATATGTGGAGTACCTGTTGCCTATTATGTAAATATAAATACATATATGTATGTGCTTCATAAAACAATATAGAAATGACAGAATCTGAAAGTTGTCTTCACCACCATGAATAATTTTTGACACAAAAGTTTCTAAGTGACAAACTAGGTGTTAAGCTAATACGCAGGTAAGATGTTTAAATAACATTGTAAAACTGCATTGTCTTTAAATATGATTCTCAGTTGACATGTATGCCTGCTGATAAAGTGTGTATATGGGGACAGGGAAATTCCAAATGATCCTCTGAACTTCAATTTGTTTAAATAAAGCACATTATGTGGTTGGGAAGGGAGGAGGTGAGGCTGAAGCAACGCTGTATCTATTTAAAAACATTGGTATTTGAGCGAATACATTTTATTCAGTTCTACTACAAAGACTTTCTAATATTTATATGCCTTTCTAAATGTCTCATTATCCATGGTAGGTTGGGTGGACAGATACCTTAAAACGATATGATTCAATTGGGTCAAGCAGAGAGAAATGCAAGCATTTGCACTGCTGTGGGGTCAGAGAGACTCAGAAAATAATAATATGCAGTTTTTACAACTGTGCTATTAGGTTTCACTACCTGGTATTTGAAATTTTCACAAAGTAACTGACAGTGCTTCATAGTTTGTCTATCTTAGCAAAATAAATAAATCTATTTATAAAATGCCAGACTAGCACTAACAGAATATTGACAAATCATACCAAATTGCATTGATAATTTAATGTTATTTAGGCATGCAAATATAGGTATAACAGGAAAATACTATCCCCCAAATATTTCACCATACAATCTCCAAAATATTTTTATTAAAGGAATTGACTGCTAAATAGAAAAGGTCTTATGAATGCATCAGTTACATATAAATTCTATTGCATAAGCAAAGCATTATTAGCATTACTGAACTATGAAATAGAATTGGGCTACAATAATATAGAATCAGATATTCTAATAATATCAAGAGAAGATTGATTTACCCTTAGCAGGAATATCTTCCTAGCTTTTATTTGTTATTTTCTGAAAACGACTTGAATTGCTTATTTTCTTTTTAATAGCAATAACACTTGTTCTTTAGAGAGTACTTAGGAAACATAGATTTAAAAATAAAAAGAAGAATATAAAAATCACCCATTACCCCACCGCTAGTCATGTTTTGGTATATATCATTTTAGATATTTAGTTACACTGTCCATACTTTTCCAAGGGTCATCATCTAATATATGATTAATATTCCTTTATGACATTATTTTTAATAACAAACTATAATTCCATTAACCCATCTTCTGTGGTTGATCACTTATATTGCTCCCAATTCTTCACGATTATTAGCAAGGCAAAAAGAACATCTTATGGGACCATGGCTTTGCACACATACCTAGTTATTCCCATAAGATTAATTCCAAAATATCATATTGCTGGATCAAAAGGTATACATCTTAAGGCTCTTTATAAACTATTACTAATTATAGAAGTAACACATGAACATCATTTCTCAAAAAGCAAACACCTATATTTTTTCTTCCTCCATGCCACCCTGCACTTTAGATGTAACCACTGTTAGCAACTTCTTATTCGTCCAGAAATTACAAAAATTGAAGCATGCTAAATCTTAGCAATACCCCTTGGAGAGTATTCACTATCAGGACATTATATCTCTACCTCAATCCTTTTGATAATTTTACTAGATTTAGTGGCCTGGATATATCATGGCTCATAAAAACAGTCCACAATTGATAGACAGTAGGTTTCATTCAATTTTTGCTATTAAAAACAATGATATAACATTCTTCTACGTGTATTTTGCAAATTTGTGTAAATGTTTCAGAATAAAAGGAATTTGCTAGGTAAATGGATAGATGCCTTTTAATTTTGCTAGATGTCTCCATATTGCCATCTAAATAGTTGTGTTTATTTACATTTTTATTATCCTCAGCAACACTGAGTATTATGCAACATTTTAATCCTTGTCACTCTGCAAGCTAAGAAACTGTATTATTTTTGTTGTTATTGTCATTTGTATGTTTTAAATTATAAGTGAGATCTATCACTCAATCTGAAACTCAAATTCAAAAATCCTGTTGAATCATCATATGAATTCTGAAGCCTGGTGAAATTCTTGTTCCTGCTATTCTTCAGCTAATTTGTTAGCTAAAAACTTGTTTTGTAATTTATATTATTCACTTTACATACATATTATATTGCTTTTGAAGATGATAATTTAAAACAATAACAAGAGCTGTTTTCTTTTAGTACTGTTGAAAATGACTAACTGTTTACATGTCTGGGATACTTTGCTGGGAAATTATTGAACAGAAGCATCCCCACCTTTCCTAAAGCAGAGTCACTCAGCACCACACAATGGCCATTTGTATATGCCAAGAATTCAAAGTAACTTTGAAAGTGACATGTCACAAACAATCTGCCCAGTGGCAGATATTATATATGGCTAGTTGATTATGAGGAAAATTTATTAAAATATAAGGTCGTACTCAAATACTCCAAACTGTATTGAAAAAGAAAAAAGGAATATACCCAAGAATACTAACAGCGATTATCCTGGGATAATAGGATTACAGATTACTAAATTATAAGATCTTGCCATGGGAATGCTAAAAAAATCAACATTAAGTGCTTTGTGCATGAACCTACTATGTATACCTTTTGAAAAACATACTAGAAGAAATTTTGAAATTTACGGGAATAATAATTCACTCAGTGAGTACATTTTGAATACTTCCTGTGTAGCTATGATTGTGCTATAAGCCAGAAGTATATGGCATAGCACTGGCTTTATAAGAGCTCACAATCTTAGATATACGAAACATGATGAGCAATGTCAAAAGAGAGAAGATGATAAAATGCTTATTTAAATGCATCAACTACGCCCTTGGGGAAATCTAAGTTTCAGTTTTCTATTGAAATGATGGTGTTTAATTACAGTAGATCAGAGGTTCCCAAACTATTTGATTTCAGGACCCCTTTATACCCTTCAAAAATACTGAGGACCAGTCGGGCGCGGTGGCTCACACCTGTAATCCCAGCACTTTGGGAGGCCGAGGCCGGCGGATCGTGACGTCAGGAGATAGAGACCATCCTGGCTACGGTGAAACCCCAACTCTACTAAAAAAAAAAAAAAAAAAAAAAAATACAAAAAATTAGCCAGGCGTGGTGGCGGGCGCCTGTAGTCCCAGCTACTTGGGAGGCTGAGGCAGGAGAATGGCGTCAATCCGGAAGGCGGAGCTTGCAGTGAGCCGAGATCGCGCCACTGCACTCCAGCCTGGGTGACAGAGGGAGACTCCATCTCAAAAAAAAAAAAAAAATTATTGAAGACAAAAAAGAGCTTTTGCTTATGTGGGTTATATCAGTCTTTACTATATTGGTAAATAATATTGATAAACTGAAAAAATATTTATTAATTCAGGAATAACACTAATAAACCCATTGCATATTAACATAAAAACACATTTTATAAAAAATAGCTCTTGGAAATGAAAAGAATTCTGAAACTTCCAAAGCAGACAAAAGATGTAGCTTAATTGTTTGGAGTTAATTTATGGCATGAAGTGGGATTTACCAGAAATAAAGAAACAAAGGAAGAATAAGGATAAAAGGAACTGAATTACAATGCTATTGGTTTTTATTTTCTCTAAACAGAAATCCATTTTGCTGTCTTAAGGTGACCAAATTTCTTGTATGCCTGGACAGTTCTTGTCTATGCCTGTTGTTCTGGCATGACTACTTAGTTACAAACAGTGCCTGTCTTCACAAAGAGTCTCAAAGTGGACAATAAATTATCTTATCATACTACTTATCCAAAACATTGCATAATCATTTCTTTATGCATCACCTATGCATGTTTTTATTTCATTCAACAAACATCTATTGAGCACCTACTGGGTACCAGATTCTATGCTATCAGTCAGGAATACGAAGTAGAATAAGCCTTGCAAGATGCTTACTATCTGACAACTCCTGGTCCATAGACAGATCAATTGATTTTTATCATGCATTACCTGATTCAAGTCTCTTTTAACAAACATGATTATTATTATTATTATTTCCAAAAACATGGAATTACAATAGTAGAAGATAAAAGTTGTTCCTGAGGGGAGGAGCCAAGATGGCCGAATAGGAACAGCTCCGGTCTACAGCTCCCAGCGTGAGCGACGCAGAAGACGGGTGATTTCTGCATTTCCATCTGAGGTACCGGGTTCATCTCACTAGGGAGTGCCAGACAGTGGGCGCAGGCCAGTGTGTGCGCGCACCGTGCGCGAGCCGAAGCAGGGCGAGGCATTGCCTCACCTGGGAAGCGCAAGGGGTCAGGGAGTTCCCTTTCCGAGTCAAAGAAAGGGGTGACGAACGCACCTGGAAAATCGGGTCACTCCCACCCGAATATTGTGCTTTTCAGACCGGCTTAAAAAACGGCGCACCACGAGACTATATCCCACACCTGGCTGAGAGGGTCCTACGCCCACGGAATCTCGCTGATTGCTAGCACAGCAGTCTGAGATTAAACTGCAAGGCGGCAACGAGGCTGGGGGAGGGGCGCCCGCCATTGCCCAGGCTTGCTTAGGTAAACAAAGCAGCCGGGAAGCTCGAACTGGGTGGAGCCCACCACAGCTCAAGGAGGCCTGCCTGCCTCTGTAGGCTCCACCTCTAGGGGCAGGGCACAGACAAACAAAAAGACAGCAGTAACCTCTGCAGACTTAAGTGTCCCTGTCTGACAGCTTTGAAGAGAGCAGTGGTTCTCCCAGCACGCAGCTGGAGATCTGAGAACGGGCAGACTGCCTCCTCAAGTGGGTCCCTGACCCCTGACCCCCGAGCAGCCTAACTGGGAGGCACCCCCCAGCAGGGGCACACTGACACCTCACACGGCAGGGTATTCCAACAGACCTGCAGCTGAGGGTCCTGTCTGTTAGAAGGAAAACTAACAACCAGAAAGGACATCTACACCGAAAACCCATCTGTACATCACCATCATCAAAGACCAAAAGTAGATAAAACCACAAAGATGGGGAAAAAACAGAACAGAAAAACTGGAAACTCTAAAATGCAGAGCGCCTCTCCTCCTCCAAAGGAACGCAGTTCCTCACCAGCAACGGAACAAAGCTGGATGGAGAATGATTTTGAGGAGCTGAGAGAAGAAGGCTTCAGACGATCAAATTACTCTGAGCTACGGGAGGACATTCAAACCAAAGGCAAAGAAGTTGAAAACTTTGAAAAAAATTTAGAAGAATGTATAACTAGAATAACCAATACAGAGAAGTGCTTAAAGGAGCTGATGGAGCTGAAAGCCAAGGCTCGAGAACTACGTGAAGAATGCAGAAGCCTCAGGAGCCGATGCGATCAACTGGAAGAAAGGGTATCAGCGATGGAAGATGAAATGAATGAAATGAAGCGAGAAGGGAAGTTTAGAGAAAAAAGAATAAAAAGAAATGAGCAAAGCCTCCAAGAAATATGGGACTATGTGAAAAGACCAAATCTACGTCTGATTGGTGTACCTGAAAGTGATGTGGAGAATGGAACCAAGTTGGAAAACACTCTGCAGGATATTATCCAGGAGAACTTCCCCAATCTAGCAAGGCAGGCCAACGTTCAGATTCAGGAAATACAGAGAACGCCACAAAGATACTCCTCGAGAAGAGCAACTCCCAGACACATAATTGTCAGATTCACCAAAGTTGAAATGAAGGAAAAAATGTTAAGGGCAGCCAGAGAGAAAGGTCGGGTTACCCTCAAAGGAAAGCCCATCAGACTAACAGCGGATCTCTCGGCAGAAACCATACAAGCCAGAAGAGAGTGGGGGCCAATATTCAACATTCTTAAAGGAAAGAATTTTCAACCCAGAATTTCATATCCAGCCAAACAAAGCTTCATAAGTGAAGGAGAAATAAAATACTTTATAGACAAGCAAATGCTGAGAGATTTTGTCACCACCAGGCCTGCCCTAAAAGAGCTCCTGAAGGAAGCGCTAAACATGGAAAGGAACAACCGGTACCAGCCGCTGCAAAATCATGCCAAAATGTAAAGACCATCGAGACTAGGAAGAAACTGCATCAACTAACGAGCAAAAGCACCAGCTAACATCATAATGACAGGATCAAATTCACACATAACAATATTAACTTTAAATGTAAATGGACTAAATTCTGCAATTAAAAGACACAGACTGGCAAGTTGGATAAAGAGTCAAGACCATCAGTGTGCTGTATTCAGGAAACCCATCTCACATGCAGAGACACACATAGGCTCAAAATAAAAGGATGGAGGAAGATCTACCAAGCCAATGGAAAACAAAAAAAGGCAGGGGTTGCAATCCTAGTCTCTGATAAAACGGACTTTAAACCAACAAAGATCAAAAGAGACAAAGAAGGCCATTACATAATGGTAAAGGGATCAATTCAACAAGAGGAGCTAACTATCCTAAATATTTATGCACCGAATACAGGAGCACCCAGATTCATAAAGCAAGTCCTGAGTGACCTACAAAGAGACTTAGACTCCCACACATTAATAATGGGAGACTTTAACACCCCACTGTCAACATTAGACAGATCAACGAGACAGAAAGTCAACAAGGATACCCAGGAATTGAACTCAGCTCTGCACCAAGCGGACCTAATAGACATCTACAGAACTCTCCACCCCAAATCAACAGAATATACATTTTTTTCAACACCACACCACACCTATTCCAAAATTGACCACATAGTTGGAAGTAAAGCTCTCCTCAGCAAATGTAAAAGAACAGAAATTATAACAAACTATCTCTCAGACCACAGTGCAATCAAACTAGAACTCAGGATTAAGAATCTCACTCAAAGCCGCTCAACTACATGGAAACTGAACAACCTGCTCCTGAATGACTACTGGGTACATAACGAAATGAAGGCAGAAATAAAGATGTTCTTTGAAACCAACGAGAACAAAGACACCACATACCAGAATCTCTGGGACGCATTCAAAGCAGTGTGTAGAGGGAAATTTATAGCACTAAATGCCCACAAGAGAAAGCAGGAAAGATCCAAAATTGACACCCTAACATCACAATTAAAAGAACTAGAAAAGCAAGAGCAAACACATTCAAAAGCTA
Source organism: Homo sapiens (assembly GCF_000001405.40). Taxonomy (NCBI): domain Eukaryota; kingdom Metazoa; phylum Chordata; class Mammalia; order Primates; family Hominidae; genus Homo; species Homo sapiens. The sequence goes on along the minus strand of NC_000009.12, from coordinate 101,105,187 downwards.
GCAGAAGGCAAGAAATAACTAAAATCAGAGCAGAACTGAAGGAAATAGAGACACAAAAAACCCTTCAAAAAATCAATGAATCCAGGAGCTGGTTTTTTGAAAGGATCAACAAAATTGATAGACCGCTAGCAAGACTAATAAAGAAAAAAAGAGAGAAGAATCAAATAGACACAATAAAAAATGATAAAGGGGATATCACCACCAATCCCACAGAAATACAAACTACCATCAGAGAATACTACAAACACCTCTACGCAAATAAACTAGAAAATCTAGAAGAAATGGATACATTCCTCGACACATACACTCTCCCAAGACTAAACCAGGAAGAAGTTGAATCTCTGAATAGACCAATAACAGGATCTGAAATTGTGGCAATAATCAATAGTTTACCAACCAAAAAGAGTCCAGGACCAGATGGATTCACAGCTGAATTCTACCAGAGGTACAAGGAGGAGCTGGTACCATTCCTTCTGAAACTATTCCAATCAATAGAAAAAGAAGGAATCCTCCCTAACTCATTTTATGAGGCCAGCATCATTCTGATACCAAAGCCGGGCAGAGACACAACCAAAAAAGAGAATTTTAGACCAATATCCTTGATGAACATTGATGCAAAAATCCTCAATAAAATACTGGCAAATCAAATCCAGCAGCACATCAAAAAGCTTATCCACCATGATCAAGTGGGCTTCATCCCTGGGATGCAAGGCTGGTTCAATATATGCAAATCAATAAATGTAATCCAGCATATAAACAGAGCCAAAGACAAAAACCACATGATTATCTCAATAGATGCAGAAAAAGCCTTTGACAAAATTCAACAACCCTTCATGCTAAAAACTCTCAATAAATTAGGTATTGATGGGATGTATTTCAAAATAATAAGAGCTATCTATGACAAACCCACAGCCAATATCATACTGAATGGGCAAAAACTGGAAGCATTCCCTTTGAAAACTGGCACAAGACAGGGATGCCCTCTCTCACCGCTCCTATTCAACATAGTGTTGGAAGTTCTGGCCAGGGCAATCAGGCAGGAGAAGGAAATAAAGGGTATTCAATTAGGAAAAGAGGAAGTCAAATTGTCCCTGTTTGCAGATGACATGATTGTTTATCTAGAAAACCCCATCGTCTCAGCCCAAAATCTCCTTAAGCTGATAAGCAACTTCAGCAAAGTCTCAGGAGACAAAATCAATGTACAAAAATCACAAGCATTCTTATACACCAACAACAGACAAACAGAGAGCCAAATCATGAGTGAACTCCCATTCACAATTGCTTCAAAGAGAATAAAATACCTAGGAATCCAACTTACAAGGGATGTGAAGGACCTCTTCAAGGAGAACTACAAACCACTGCTCAAGGAAATAAAAGAGGACACAAACAAATGGAAGAACATTCCATGCTCATGGGTAGGAAGAATCAATATCGTGAAAATGGCCATACTGCCCAAGGTAATTTACAGATTCAATGCCATCCCCATCAAGCTACCAATGACTTTCTTCACAGAATTGGAAAAAACTACTTTAAAGTTCATATGGAACCAAAAAAGAGCCCGCATCGCCAAGTCAATCCTAAGCCAAAAGAACAAAGCTGGAGGCATCACACTACCTGACTTCAAACTATACTACAAGGCTACAGTAACCAAAACAGCATGGTACTGGTACCAAAACAGAGATATAGATCAATGGAACAGAACAGAGCCCTCAGAAATAATGCCGCATATCTACAACTATCTGATCTTTGACAAACCTGAGAAAAACAAGCAATGGGGAAAGGATTCCCTATTTAATAAATGGTGCTGGGAAAACTGGCTAGCCATATGTAGAAAGCTGAAACTGGATCCCTTCCTTACACCTTATACAAAAATCAATTCAAGATGGATTAAAGATTTAAACGTTAGACCTAAAACCATAAAAACCCTAGAAGAAAACCTAGGCATTACCATTCAGGACATAGGCGTAGGCAAGGACTTCATGTCCAAAACACCAAAAGCAATGGTAACAAAAGCCAAAATTGACAAATGGGATCTAATTAAACTAAAGAGCTTCTGCACAGCAAAAGAAACTACCATCAGAGTGAACAGGCAACCTACAACATGGGAGAAAATTTTCGCAACCTACTCATCTGACAAAGGGCTAATATCCAGAATCTACAATGAACTCAAACAAATTTACAAGAAAAAAACAAACAACCCCATCAAAAAGTGGGCGAAGGACATGAACAGACACTTCTCAAAAGAAGACATTTATGCAGCCAAAAAACACATGAAAAAATGCTCATCATCACTGGCCATCAGAGAAATGCAAATCAAAACCACTATGAGATATCATCTCACACCAGTTAGAATGGCAATCACTAAAAAGTCAGGAAACAACAGGTGCTGGAGAGGATGTGGAGAAATAGGAACACTTTTACACTGTTGGTGGGACTGTAAACTAGTTCAACCATTGTGGAAGTCAGTGTGGTGATTCCTCAGGGATCTAGAACTAGAAATACCATTTGACCCAGCCATCCCATTACTGGGTATATACCCAAATGACTATAAATCATGCTGCTATAAAGACACATGCACACGTATGTTTATTGCGGCATTATTCACAATAGCAAAGACTTGGAACCAACCCAAATGTCCAACAATGATAGACTGGATTAAGAAAATGTGGCACATATACACCATGGAATATTATGCAGCCATAAAAAATGATGAGTTCATGTCCTTTGTAGGGACATGGATGAAATTGGAAACCATCATTCTCAGTAAACTATCGCAAGAACAAAAAACCAAACACCGCATATTCTCACTCATAGGTGGGAATTGAACAATGAGATCACATGGACACAGGAAGGGGAATATCACACTCTGGGGACTGTGGTGGGGTCGGGGGATGGGGGAGGGATAGCATTGGGAGATATACCTAATGCTAGATGACGAGTTAGTGGGTGCAGCGCACCAGCATGTCACATGTATACATATGTAACTAACCTGCACAATGTGCACATGTACCCTAAAACTTAAAGTATAATAATAAAATAAAAAAAAAAAGAATAAAGCTATAATAGGAACCACAAAAAAAAAAAAAAAAAAAAAGTTGTTCCTACCTTCAAGGAGTTTACAAGCTTATAGTATAATGGGAAAGCAGACAATTACATAAAAATTACTAGAAACATGATAAGTGAAAAAGGTAGTAACTTATAAACAGCATGGAAGAGGTGATGGCAGAATTCTTTTTTGGGAGAATAGTACTGCACTTGTATTTGCAAGTACTCTTTAAAGGGCTTCTAGACTGGCTTTAAAGGAAAAAGTTTAAACAGAGGAGCTCATCTGCTTTGTGGTTTAGGGTTATCTGTATTGGGTTCATGGGTTTATTCTCTAAATATATTCAAGAAATACCACAGTTCTTGAGAATCAGCTTCTATAGAATGATGAAGAATGCAGAAAAAAAAGATTTGCCCTCAAGGAGCTAATAGTTTTGTTCAAGGGTTTGAACCATATGGTCCATTGATATCTAAAGGATCTTTACATTTGTTTATCGTTTCATTCATCCTTTTATTCCATTTATTCAAGTGGATGACCATATATTCCATAAAGTGTTTCATAAGAAATTTTGGAAAGCAATAATGTCTGATGCTGAATTGTTATTGTTTCTTTTTTTTTTTTTCCATTTGAATTACCTCAGATTATCCTCAGGTCTTCAAGAAATGTGTCAACCACTGTCCAGAGCTGGTTCTGGAGCTGCAGCTGGACCAAAAGGTGACATACAGTAACAAAGATTCAGGAGCATTGACAGTAAACACTCATTTTCAGGACAGGACCACATTTCCTTTAGTATTAGCATACTAAATAAAAGAATGATAAATAAAAAGCCAGAAAACCCAAGGACACTTATTATATTTTGATGGGAGAAATATATGATGATATGTAAGTCATCACTGGCACATTAACCCAGTCCACATGTTTCTTCAGAGAGGTCCTAACTTTGATAAATCCTTAGAAGAATTCATGACTGCCATCCCACCACACAAAAAAGTCAAGAACCATTGGTAAAGAATGAGAGAAATGTAACTAATTATAACACAGAGCAAATGCTATAATAAAAGAATGCACAAAGTTCCAGCAGTAAGCTCAACAAGACACTAACAGGAATGGGTGTGCATTTCTTAAGGCTTAATTTACTTACACATACCTTTTAGTATACACAATACTGCACACTGGCTCAAAGTGTGAGTTTTGAGATCAGGCAGATCTGCATTCACATTTGATTCTCCCACTGTTTAGCTATGTTACTGTGGGTGAATTACTTTGCATTACTAACCACAGTTCTCTTAGCTATAGAATGGGGAAATAACAGTCCTAACTGTGGGGCCCTAACTATGAGGATTAAATTATAAAGAACCTGGGGAAATACCTGTGTATTATAACTGCTTGATAAATATGAACTAGGAACACAACACACACACACACACACACACACACACACACACACGGAACAAAGAGTAAATAGTTTCTGATGAACTGTCTTTGAGCTTCTCCCATATATTATCAGAAAATAATTCCTTGAAATTTCTTAAATGCTAGCATATAAAAGTGTGTGTTCTAAAATACATTTCCGTAATAATTATATTATTTTAGTGGTCAAAAATAATGATGTTGCACTTTAAGCAGGTGAGTTGAGAGAAGTGTGAGGAGTTGGGGTGGAAGACTCATACAAAGGCAGACAGTTCCAATAATACCTAGAAAATGCAGTCTTAGGTTTTTTTCACAAATAAAAATAAATAAGTAATTAGAAGGTAAAACCTAATTCTTATTCCTTTCCCAGGTCCCCCCTTTAATCCACTCAGTCTCATTAGCCTGCCTTTGCAAATGGAGATGAAATAATTTTGCATTGCAAAATAATCACTGCCACCCCAAAGGTGAGATCTTCCCATCTTCTTCACTTTCCATGTGTGACATTCTTTAAATCAGACCTTTTTATCTTTCTACTTTGCTGCGTTCTAAATTTAGTTAGGGACCCATATTAACTCATTTTTTTTTGTAAATTTCATGTTTCAGAATATTGCACGTAAGAAAAAAAATGCCTAAAATGTGATTCTTGTAAAGGAAATGATGAGCCCCTCTGACCGTATGTCAGAAAAAGAAAGAAAGAAAATAATCAGCCACCACATTTTTTTCCCAAATCTATAACTCTTTCTCATTTTACTGCAATACACTGAGAAAAAATAATCATCAGTGACTGGATCTGGGAAGCAATTTATTATTGGACATTAGTGGAAAACTCTCTTTCAGTTCTATACAGCACAGACTCCTTCACTGCTTCAAGGGGAGAAGAGGAGAAAGAAGGGCACTTTCTGGTGAGCCATATTTATTTAGTGTACTGTCATCCCTTGGTATCCATGGGGGAGTTGTTCCAGGACTTCTCAAGAATACCAAAATCTACAGATACTCAAATCCCTTACATAAAATGGTGTAGTTTTTGCATATAACATACGCATGGTCATTCTCCTGTATATCCTAAACCATCTCTTAATTCCTTATAATACCTAATACAATGTAAGCACTATGTAAGTGGCTGTCATATCGTATTGTCTAGGGAATGATGCAAAGGGAAAAAAGTCTGTACCTGTTCAGTACAGATGTAACCATCCTTTTTCTCCCCATGTATTTTCAATCTGAGGTTGGTTGAATTCATGGATGGGTAACCCACAGACAGGGAGAGCTGGATATATTTGCATTTCATGCTTTTTTTTCCCACCACAATTAATTTCTCTCAACTTTGCAATATATGTCAGAAATCAGAAAACAAATCCTTCTTCCTAGTCAATATTTAGGACATGAATATTTACC